>NC_000006.12:121737456-122040486 GCF_000001405.40 Homo sapiens | reverse complement strand
CAACCATAATTTCTACTTCTTGGCTTAATGAGCAGATCTTCTGTCAGGAATAAATCTAGAAGGATCTGCCCAGCTATGAAAATTCATCTTCATAGCTCTGCAACTTATCTTTTTATCATTACTCAACTAGGAATTTAACTGCCTAGGATTTGTGTTTTCTCCCTTCATGTGGGACTTTTAGAAATCACTCGTTACTGAGTTACACATTTCATGATTTAACTAGCAATTGATTTGCCTGCTAATGTGCTTCTATTTTAATTTTATGTATTTTTTGTGATCGTCTCTTACTTATGAATGAATGTGTTCTTGGCCTACAGTTTTGTAAGAAAAATATATCCTAACTACCTTTTTTTAAAAAACAGTTTTATTGAGATAAACCTCACATGGTATATAATTCACCCATTTAAAGTATACAACTCGCTGGTGTTTAATGTATTGACAGTTGAGTGTCCATCATCACAATCAACTTTAGAATATTTTTATTACCCCACAAAACCTTGCACTCCTTAGCTGTCATATTCTAACCTCCCCATCCTTTCAGTCCTAGGAAACCACAAATCTATTTTCTGTCTTCATAGATTTTCCTATTCTGGACATTTCATACAAATGAAATCATATAATATGTGAGGTTTTTTTGTGACTAGCTTTTTTCATTTAACATAATGTTTTCCAGATTCATCCATGTTGTAGCATATATCAGTACTTCATTTCTTTTTATTCTGAATAATATTCCCTTGAATGAATATATCCATTTATTAGTTGACAGCTATTCTTTCTATTTAGTTGATCCATTAATTAATTTATTTATTTATCCCTTTATTAATTTATAGATTTTTCCTGCTTTTTGGTTCTTACAAATAATGGTGCTATAAATGCATTTGTATGTACACTCATAGCACCACTATTTGTAAGAATTTTTGTGTGTACACTTGGCTTCATTTCTCTTGGTTCAATACCATGGAGTGGAATTGCTGGGTCACATGATAACTCTATGCTTAACTCTTTGAGGAACTGCCAAACTATTTTGCTAAGTGGCTGCATCATTTTACATTTTCATCAGTAGGGCATGATGGTTTTGATTTCTCCACATCCTTGTCAACACTTGTTATTATCTTTTGTATTTTAGCCATCTTAAAGGGTATGAAGTGGTACATCATTGTGGTTTTGATTTGCATTTCTTTTTTAACATAACTTTCTAATTAAGCAAAAGGTACTTATCAAAAGCAGTTCAAAATATCTACAAAGGTTATATAGCTACTAACGATTAGAAACTGAAGGAAAAAAATCACACAATGGAAAATGCATCTATATTTTCGATACCCACTTTTTAAAGACTAGAATGAAAAATATTATAGAATAGAAAATTTATACTTGAAATACACTCAAGCCAAAAGAAAAAATCCCACATGATAAACCATGCATAGTAATGATGATGATTCTCTGAATGGTATTCTAATCATTCATTAGTTTGTATAAGACATTTCACTAGTGAGAATACTAAGGACACTGTCAAATAAATTATGATGAATAGTTCCAAGCAAACTTTAAGCAATCCTGAAGAACCTGGTCAACATTTTGAACATCAGTATTTCTCTGGCAAACCAGCATATTACTTGATTTTTCATTCATTCCTATTACTATCTCTTCTACTGTGTTTAAGACCATGTATATATAATCTACTTGTGCCAAATGTAAGTTGGATATATTGCAAAGATGAGAGCTGGATAGAACAGATGATTCCTTTGCCAGGGAACATTTGAAGTGAAAGACAAAAAATAATTACAAAGGAATGGGCTTTGAATGATGGCAAAGTGTTCACCAAACAGCACTGGTGGTATATGGACCCATTGAGAGTCTTCATTTCTTTTCTAAAACCCTAGAGGCTTTATAGTGTCCATATATCCATATTTGTTCAGGCAGTCCTGGTTTATATCTGTTTTCCTGGTGTCATTATTAACACCTTTCTCTTTCATTCTCAAAAATCATCTGCAAATATATTTAATTATATTTTCATCCTATTTATAAAAGACCTCCCAGTATAATGATTAAAATGTAAAGAAGATACAGCCCCCAAGGAAGGGAAAAAGTCTGCAATTAGACAACTCTTCAAGCCAGGGCTCTGATTTGGATGAGAAAACTAAGGAGAAAACACCTAAGCTGATGCCTCATCCTAAATGACATCCAATAGATTTCCCCTGCATGGGCTTCCCTAGTGTGCCTCTGACTCTCTTTGAAAACACAGGTGTATCCACCTGAAGGGTAGCATGGGAATGGCACGTTGGAGCACAACAATCCTAACTCGGCCACTGGATTCTGTGGATTGAAACTTAACTTATTGTCGAAGCTCTACTTGATAGAATTGAAGAGGTTGTTAATATCTGCCTATTTCTATCAAGATATGCTCAAAACTATGAATAGACCCGGATATACAAATAGCTCCATGAATTGGGCTCTAAAGGATTGAAGTGGCTGAAGCAGAAGCTGACTTTGTTCTGCCCCACCAGACGACTTTAGAAAGATGATTAATTAGGAGGGGGTGTTTGTGAGAAGGACTTGGATTTTCTTTTTCCAAATCAGTAGGAATTAAAACTAATCCAAAATCCACAGGCTTGCTTTTTGATCATTGCTAGTGGTAGGGTTTTGGTTGCAATTTTTAATAACTTTCAAGCTTAACTTTAAAATGTGGTAATTGAGAGACATGAATCAAGTAGAGAATTTATTTTTTAGAGCTTTGCTGTCTGCCACTTAACTAATTGGCTAGATCCTATTAGATGTCACACCTTTAGTTACCTAATATATAAGTAGTAAATAATTATTGTTCATATTTTAACTTCACTCCTTCATGAATTGCATTTGCTATTATAATTTGAGGCATGACTCTGGATGATAGAGAATTTGTCTGGTGAGAAAGTTATACCATAAGGAGGCCGGGCGCGGTGGCTCACGCCTGTAATCCCAGCACTTTGGGAGACTGAGGCAGGTGGATCACAAGGTCAGGAGATCAAGGCCATCCTGGCTAACATGGTGAAATCCCGTCTCTACTAAAAATACAAAAAATTAGCCGGCGTGGTACTCCCAGCTACTCGGGAGGCTGAGGCAGAAGAATGGCATTAACCTGGGAGGCGGAGCTTGCAGTGAGCAGAGATTGCGCCACTGCACTCCAGCCTGGGCAACAGAGCCAGACTCTGTCTCAAAGGAAAAAAGAAAAAGTTATACCATAAGGAAAAAGCAAGTATATTTAGAATCCCGTGTCTCATGCTCAGAGAATTTTCACACGTGTAAAATTAAACAGACTCCCTAATGGATTCTTCTTTTAGGAGTAATAAGAATGAGATGGGGAAAATGTATGTTTTCTTTCTAAGTTAATATGATTGTAAAACCATGAGCAATTGTGACCTACATGAAACTGACAGTTTGTGTTGGTACTCTTTCTGGAATGACACAGGCACACTCTTCAACAAGAGTTTTACTGAAGGGCCAGGATTTTTCAAACATTTACCAAGTTTTCATTTGCTATTTAAAAAAAGACTTTGAGCTTTTGTGGTGGGAGAACTCTTTTGCTGATGTATGAGGAGACTGCTATCTGAATTTGTAAATGACATCTATGGAAAATGGGAGGATTAAACAGAGCCTTGCCGTTTCTCTTCGTCTGTGGTGCATTCTACATTTTAAAACTTCTTGGCCGGACATGGTGGCTCACACCTGTAATCCCAGCACTTTGGGAGGCCCAGGCAGGCAAATCACTTGAGGTCAGAGGTTCGAGACCTGGCCAACATGACAAAACCCTGACTCTACTAAAAACACAAAAATTAGCTGGGCATGGCCGTGTATTCCTGTAATCCCAGCTACTCGGAGAGCTGAGGCAGGAGAATGGCTTGAACCCGGGAAGCAGACATTGCAGTAAGCCAAGATCATGACACTGCACTCCAGCCTGGGCAACAAGAGTGAGATACCTCCTATAAATAAATAAATAAATGAATAAATAAATAAGTAAAATGAAATAAAATAAAATTTCTTTACAACCTATTTGTGCTTTAAATTTTTTTAATGGGTAATAGGTTGGGCTTCTTCTCATAGTGAATGTTCCTTATTTGTTGTTAGTGTTGCCTCTATAGATATGTGTATGCTTTGATATTTCTTCTTTTACACACACACACTCACACACACACAGACACACCCTTTCTCCCTTAAATTTAGGGACCAAACTGACCAAATCCTAAGTCAGTTTATTAACTGCAAAATTTATATGAAGCAGTTTATAACTGGCCCACAGATATTGGTAATCATGTAGTGGATGTGTATTAGTCCATCTTCATGCTGCTGATAAAGACATACCCAAGACTGGGAAGAAAAAGAGCTTTAATTGGACTTACAGTTCCACATGGCTGGGGAGGCCTCAGAATCATGGTGGGAGATGAAAGGCATCTCTCACATGACAGCAGCAAGAGAAAATGAGGAAGAAGCAAAAGCAGAAACCCCTGATAAACCCATCAGATCTTGTGAGACTTATTCACTATCACGGCAATAGCATGGGAAAGACCGGCCCCCATGATTCAATTACCTCCCCCTGGGTCCCTCCCACAACACATGGGAATTCTGGGAGATACAATTCAAGTTGAGATTTGGGTGGGGACACAGCCAAACCATATCAAGATGTATTTCAGTTTTGAGTATCTGAGGACTTAACATAATAGAAAGAAAGAAAGCAGGAAGAAGAGGGAACATGTTCATACTGTATTATCCTCATTTTACTAGTCACCTGCAAATAAATATAATTTAAACAGGTCTAAAATTTCTGCTAACATGAGATTTAAAAAAAAGGCACAGAACATAAATGCACCACATAAATGGCAAATACAGCATGTAAATTAATTCTGAGATGAATAGGAAAATGAAGTCGAGTCATGTTTTCCAAGTCTTCTGATCAAATAATTGAAAGAGAAGGGGGTCATCAAATAAGATCCTGGAAATAGAAGATGCTGAGTGTGAACTATTTTGAAATCCTATCCAAACCCCAACATACATGTGTGGAGAACAAGTATCCGTGTGTTCTGTTGAACGGTCATGTGGTTTTGGGATTTGCTTCAGTTGCTGCAGTCAGCATTTCTAGGCTTTGTCCTGATCCTGTGCCAAGAGGACATCTTTGTGGAGACTTGGAATATACCCTCAGTGTGAGTCCCTGTCTTTAATCTCAAAACCACTTTCAAAGCCATGTGTATCCTGCAGAGCAGTGCAACTCTTATGAAAGCACATTTTTCCAGTGCTTTGGCTATGCTATTACCTTTGGTGTCTTAGTTCTGGTGGATTCTGGCTCCTTAGATAACTCTAGTGTGACTCAAGGAAAGGTGCTGGGAGTACAGTTAGCAGAGAAAGAAAGCCATATTCTCAAACCTTCTATGCTCGTATGGTCCCAACTTATGGTCAAACCTAGGTTTTCAGGACTTTTGTTTACCTCTAAGTTTGAAAGGTAGAAAATATGATAAAATTTGAGTGTTGTACTTAGCAATATTTTCTAATATGATTCACCTGGCTGCTGATTAACCCCAAATTTCCTAAGTTGCTGTAAATTTTCTAATATTCTCATTTACATAAACTTGCTTTTATATTTTCTAATATTCTCATATGCTTTATATAAACTTGCATGAGCCTAAAACCATTAATAACAAAATACTTTAGCCCGTTACAGTAATCAACTTGACAACTTACCACCTTAAATGAGAAGGTAGAATATCTTTCCGCCAGTGTTCCACTCCACAAATATTCGTTAAGCCCCTTACATTAACAAGGCCCTGTACTAAAATGTTGTGAATGATGTAACTATGAGCCTATCTGAATACAATATTTAGATGTGGCTTAATATTTATAGAAATAACTTAATATTTATGGAAATAAGTATTAAGAATTAAGAAATAAATATTAAGAATATTATTTATAGAAATAAATATTAAGTGGGTTTCTTGGGCACAAATAGAAACCAAATAGGGCTTAATTATTGATAATGAAAAAAAGCCTTTTTATTGAGTTGACCCTATTTTACTCAGCCTAATTGCCATAAATTCAAAGATTATATAGTATAGCTAGATTTATTTTAGTTCAAGCTATAAATTGGTATTGACAAGATGTGTCTTAAAACATAATGGATTCATTTTTTATATTATGTTTTTGTGATGACAAAACACATCTAAAACAATCATCAAACAGTTGCAACCATCTGTTGTTAAGAACAGAGAAGCAAAGTACTTTATTTCCTCTTTCATTTTTTTTTGTAAGCCTGCACGTCAGCATGTACTTCTCCCCAAACTTTACATCAGCAATTTGCCAACTTGCTTTGCTATATTGATTTCATGCTTGTTTCATTAATCATCTGTCAGACTCTTTTATCAATGGATAGACAACTTTGCAGACTGATTGCTAGCTCTAAATGTTAAATTTCCTACCATCTCAAGATTCAGTTGACAGTGGTACTCAATGAAAAATGCTACTTCAAAATTTTGGGCAAATTGATCTTTTTGGATCTCAATCTCCTCATCTCTTAGAAATCCAAAAAAGATAAAAAGAAATGATATCTACATTACCTGCAGCTTTAAGTATCTATGACATGTGACTGATGTAAACATATAACAAACATTACAGTAGGATTTCCAATCCCAAGAATAATTGCTACTATTGAGAGGTATTCAATGACATACGTTAGTCAGTAGATGGCACTGTTTATTATGGTATTCCCATTAAGAAAGCAGTTACAAAATGTCAATTGCCTCACCTGATCAGGGTAGGGGAGGAGAGGAGGAGGCTCTGTTCTTACAGAAGAGAACACATGGATTTCTCAGAGGTTAGAGTGACCTGGAGAAGGAATCCAGTTCATCTTATCTATTAGATCTTGGAAAGGGAAATTCTATTCTAGATATTTTTCAGAGATGGATATTTTTAACACACTTCATTAACCACTTTCAAATTTGAAACACTTAAGAAATCTACTTAGATCACATCTTTTCTTGTCCTTGTATTTGGTCCTGAGTGAAATTCAGAAAAATCATTTCCATTTCCTTTCTTTAAAAATCCTTCCAGCTCTATAGGGAGCACTCTTCCTTTACACAAGCATTTTTTTCTTCCTTAGGATCTTCAGTCTGAGAAACACTTCAAATTTATGGGAAATGACTACCCACCATGCCTTCTTAAATTCTAATATGCCTTTCATATCAGGGCCACATATACAATGTAGTATCTATACATGCATTTAGGTATTCAATAACCAAAATATGTATATATTTGCAGTACACAACAGATATACATAGTATTTCCATTAGCCAGAAATAACTACAATCTTTTGGAGAAATTAATAGAGCAAAATGAATAAAACATAATTCATAACTGTTAGGTACAGAATGTTGCTTTCAGCTACCATCTCTTTTCATCTTTCTCTTTTTGCTGTTTTTTTTCATGACTTTAAAAACAGTTTATAAGTGAAAATAAATAGGAACAAAGGACTGTGTAAATGAACTCTATCGAGTAAATATTCAGAACAGTTTTGTTATAAGTTCAGAGAGGTAACCATACTGGACCATCAGATATCATTCTTTTTCTTTAAAAAATTTTAAGGAAACATTAGTGCTCTTAAGCTTTATACAATTCTGTCTCCCTGTATTGTATTTTAAGTCTCTGAAAAGCATGGAATATGTTTTATATGTTCATATCATATGTCCAAGAGTTTTACACAGTATTTGATTAGTTAAGATAGACTATGGGTACTTAATGAATACTGCCTAAATGAATTAATAAATAATTTCACCTAAGTTAATTGAATCATTCAGGAGAATTGTCAGCTACTTTCAAAATATAGTTTCAATAACTATCATGTCAGCATTTGGTTCCCCTATGATAAGTCTACTTATCGCATTGTGTGTGGAGTCAGTAGCTTTCCTTGTGTTACTAATAAGAAATGAAAACAAGGACAAAGGAAACCCATTTGAACAACTTATTCTATGTAGAAATGTGATTAGATTAAATGTCCTTTTCTCACCTTCTGATTGTTATGAGTACATTCATTAAATCAACTTATTCTGTACAAAATATTTTTTTTCTAGACAAAACATTATCATCAGACTTTCCTTTGTATTGTCTTACAATTACAACCTTACTCATGGTTTTAAAATTATGTGGAAAACATTGAGGGTTTAGCTTTTTATTTTACTTGGTTTATTTGGGGAGTTTGCTATTTATATTTTTTTTTACTGTTTGAAAATGTTTCTTAAACTCGACTAACAGTCCTTGATTATAGAATTGTATATCCATTGTAATTTTATTGCATATAATTCCTGGGGTTGTCACCAAGGACCCTTTACAGAAAAATCCAACATATTTGATTAACAAATATACTTACTATTTAAAGAAATCACTTGATATTCTGTGATATCAATTTGTATCCTATAAATATATTTAAAATAAATAGACATAACTTATTTGAAGAGGATATACAGATGACAATAAGTACATGAAAAGATGTTCAAAATCATTAGCATTAAGGAAATGCAATCTGAGACCATAATGAAGTATCATCAAACACCTATTAGAACAGCCAAAGTGAAAATAGTGACAATACCAGATGCAGGGGAGGATGCAGAGAAACTGGATCTCTCATACATTGCTGGGGAGAATGTAAAATGTTACAGTCATTCTGGAAAACAGTTTGGTAGTTTCTTAAAAATTCAACATACACTTATTATATGACCCAGCATTGATACTGCTGGGCATTTATTCCAATGAAAATAAATGAACTGTTCATATATGCAACTGCTTGGATGAATCTCAAGGGTACCATGCTGTGTGGAGAAGAGCCAGTCTCTAAAGGCCGTGTATTGTATGATTCCATTTATATAGCATGCTGGAAATGACAAAATTACAGAGATGGAGAACAAATTAAAGGTTGCCAGAGGTTATGGATGGCGGCAGGAGAGTGCTATAAAAGGATAAGGAGAGAAAAGAGTGACATTTGTGGTGATGTCACAGTTCTGTGTCTTGATTGTGGTGGTCATTACACAAATCTACACCCATGATAAAGTATTAATATTGTAGCAATGTTGATTTTTCTGGTTTTGATACTGTCCTACAGTTGTGTAGCAGGCAACCACTGGGGGAAACTGAGTGGAAGGTAATACTACTTTTTTCCATTTTCAACTTCCTGTGAATCTATAATTTAAAAACAAAACACATTTTTAAGTCATTTCTTGCCATCTTAGCTTGAATTATAAAACAGACAATATAATATTTTTCCTTTCTTTCCTCAATACATTTTTTCATTATTTATACTCTACAATTATTCTTAACTGGTAAGTTTGTTCCAACACTCAGTAAATGAAGCTATTTCAGCAATCTTTTCTGCTTTTCCAATAGTAGTAAAGATAAGGATATGCAGAATAAATTTTGCAATTCCTCTGCCTAACAGCAAGGATAGCTAATAACAAAGTGTACTGAGGTTCATTGGGAAAGAGATACACTCATGTAGAAGGAGTGTTTAAAACCCATTTAAAATGTTTTGTCTACTGCCTGAAAGAGAGATGACTGTCTTTTTTGGAAATATAGATAATTACTTTTGGCAATTGTAATTGAGACACTATCAAACTAGAACTTCCTTCCACATTTCATATTATATATCTAGATGTGAACAGAGAAAGAAACTGTTAGAAGTAAGTCTTCCATTTATTAATTGGAAATCAAATGATATACTATATAATGAAATGCTTTGCATTTTCATTTGGTGCACAGATGTGTCTAGAAGGAACCTGACTTGAAATTTGGGATACCTAGCCACAAGTTATTCTCTGCTTCTTAGTGTGATGCAGAGGATATTCATTTTAACTGCTTATTTTATTGCTAAAGGATCCTTGAAAACAATAATCTGGAAATATATTTTGTGAATTTTTGGAATTAAAAAATGAGATTTTCATCCATCACAGATACATAGCTTAGGCCACAAATTTGGAAAACACTGTGAATTGTATGCCATAAAACCTGTAATAATTTATGATTATTTTTTACGACCCTCCTTTAACCACCTCATTTGCCAAAAGTATCCTAGTAGTTGCTCACGGAAACTAAAATAACATCAACATCTCCAGCCAAATTCTAATAGGGCACTTGATTTATTAAGTATTTTTAGCCACAAACATTTAGCCCACATGTATTTTTATATTTCTCTATAAATATATGTCACATGACTTTATGACAAAAGATATACAAATTATGTCTTTAAGGATTTTGGCAAAACCTATTAATGCCCTTTCTATTTGTTGAAACAATCCTTCATATGTCTACTTTTATCTTTTTATTGCTTGTGCATAAGTCCAGAATAATGTGTTTTAACAAAAATATTTCAACAAATATTTATCCTTCCATCCTTTGGTGTATTATATACATTGCTAAGGCCAACGGTGCCATATTGTACTTCCACCTGTCTATGTCTCAGTCTTTAGTTCCATTATGTTCTACGCTCCTTAATGAGCTCCATGAGGACAAAGCTTAGGAATGCTGTCTATAACCTTGAGTATGAAGTGACCTGCAAGGTGAGTACTTAAGATGAATTTGGTAGTTATAAATCTGCACTAGAAACATCAATAAATTCTTTTAAAAGCATGAATCCAGTACATGAAAGGAGAAGCAGTGTGATATCATGTAACAATACTCTACTGTTGACCAAGATGATCTAAGATACAGGGTCAAGAGACCAGCATGTCTCAGCCTTCCACATTGCAGTTCAGCCTTTCAGCCTTTTTCACTGCAACTCTCAGCTGCCTGTGCCATACACGACAAATATGTGTGCTCTGCCTCCACTCACCCTTGTAGATTGGAAAGCAAGCATACTTAGCCCTAATGCCACATAAAATAGGAATGCATCTCTCAACTTTTTAGCCCAGGTTCCCTTTCAATGAGTATAAAAAATCTCATCCCTTACCTTGAGGTTAATAGCCAAATAAGCATGATTACATGCACACACACACACACACAGTAATTAAACTGCTGAATATGACATTTAAAACTTTCTCAACACCACTAGTCTGATTCTCATATACGCACACTGCTGTAAAAGACTCTCAGCTCACGTCTTCATAAAATCATGTCTAGCTAGCATCAAAGATTAGAAGTATGTGTTGGGTTGGGATGGTGGTTTAAAGTCTTGCTCAACAAGATTTCCTGCTTTGATGTTTTCTAGAATATCCTAAAATGTCAGTGGTGAATACATATTTAAATAAATGCCCTCAGGATAAAAAAAACAAGGAGACAAAATGTGTCAAGAAACTGACTCATGAGTGTGAAAGTGCCATAAAACCTATTAGTTGGTCTTTGAATCCTATCAGTCAAAAGAGATCTAACTAGTTTTGCAGGTTGTCGGCTTTGTTCTGCCCTAGGCTAGAACCTGAAGCCCACAACGTTTGTCAATACCTATGGACCAAAGAAATTTGATAAACCACTCCCTTACCTTGTTGGTGAAAGGAGCGTCTCCAGGATGCTCCTCTCTCCTTCCCATGGCACACCATTCTACCCACTGGCACTCCAAAATTCCACACCTTCTTCACTTTGATCTTTGCTTACTCATCTTATTCTGTTTGTAATTTAGAATTTGATTTTGGTATGTATATTTATGAACGACTTGAAATTTCCCAGGATGGCCTACAGTGAAGTAAGCCAGAAGGCATCTCATCTCTGAATCCCACGCAGGTCCCTAGAACAACATCACAGTTGAATCCCTTCCGCTTGCTCTAACAAGGGAAGGACACATCTTCATTTCCAGTTACACAACTAAATTAGGTAACTCTCTGCAGAGTTGCCGTAGTCTTTTTAGCTTAGTTAATAGGCTGAATAAATGAAATTACAAATTCCACACGAAATCTTGCTGAAAATAAAGTTGGTCAGTAGGTCAGAAATTTACTAAAGTACACTATTATTTTTAGCACATAAATTACAATAAGAGATTTGCGCTTTTGGGATTGTAGCCTATTGAAATTTTTTACAATTCTGAAGATGCACAGGTATGCACACACACCCTTGTACACATATGCACCCTTAGGAGAGTCATTTGGTACATGATGAATTAGTTAGTGTTTAAACTCAAGATAAAATTTATTATGAAATTGAACTACTGGTGGTTGGACATAATAATTGCATGGTCAATCTCAATTACTTGGGCTGCAAAAAAAAGATGGTCCACAAGATTAAAAAAACACATGTTTTCATAAGAAGAAAACGAGGAGTAGGTAAAGATAAATTATGATATTTAAACATAAACTATTTTAAAATCCTTTTCCTGGAGCTTCAGTTTACTTTGCAATTGTGAAAATCACTTATAATAATCCTTGAGGATTAAAAAAAATAGGAAGAAAATTTTGGATGACAATTTTTGGATGGCAGGGATCACCCAATGGCTAATTCATATAGTACCACTCCTATCTTTTTCTTCTTGTGGGTAATCTTGGTTAACTGTTGCTGAGTTTGGTCAGTTTGATGGATTTGATGTTTGCATATTTTTGCCTGTTCTAATAAAAGTTTATCAAATAGACAACCAGCAGCAAAGCTATAGCACCCTGCTCACTTCTGTTCTGTCTGGTATTTCTTACTTAAGCACATCATCTTCATTTTCTCCCCTGAAACTGAAGGAAGTAAAGGTGTGAAAGAAAACTCTACTTCTGATATCATTTGATGCCCCCTCTATTTCCATACATTGCTAAAGATTTGTGAAAAATTATATTGAATGATATTTCATCTGTACTCTTAAAAAGTATTGTGACTTTAATGTGAGATCAAATAAAACCAGTGTTAGACATTACCAGCAAATCTCAAATAAAGTTTTAATGAAAAGAATAGCAAATATTGAGATTCTCTAAACTTTAATAAAAGAACATCTAAGAGATAATACAACTGAAAGTAGAATTTTTTAAGGAGCTGTTTTATTTTGTTTTGTTTACAATACACAAGATTTGTATAAGAAAGTCAGGAGTATGGAATCTTTTAATATTGTCTTGATGTTTTTCTGCATTAAACTCCTTGCCTTGAATATAGACTCCTTGAGTCTATATTAATCTATGTAATTTTCTGAGTGTTTGTGTAACATGTCCCTCTGAAGAATGCAATGAGGTTGTTGTTTCCAAAAGCTCTTAAATTCTGAAATATAAGAAGTGTACTTCCCAGCATTGAAACCCAAAGGCCACCTAGACGCAATGTGGTGAGCAGAACATACGATAATCTCTTATGACAAATCTGAAATATGCATTTCTCAACCATAGTAAGTCTGTTGGGAGACGATTCCAAGTGATCTGTCAACTTAAAGCAAAATGTATGCTTTGATATTATACTCCTCCTCTTAGGGTTAAGTCATGCCACATTGCAGGAAGGTAGATTTCAGTGCTGCTTTTCTAATTACACCCCCAAAATGTTATTCCATGCATGTCATGCAAGAATGTACTCTCAAAAGAAAAAACAGTTCCTACTTAAGAAGGCTGGAAAACATTTACATGTTCATGCACTTTACTACATCACATATTTTCTTATTTTTTCCTTCCTTCAATTTAGAGCATGTGCTCTCATTATCCATTTTTGGCTTAATATTTTATTACTTAATAATAATCCAGTAAATTTACTTAGAACAAGAAATTTATCTAATGACTCATGTTTAAGGGATGCTTACAAAATAAAAGTAAGTGTGCATTTTGTATCATCTGAATGTTTCCAGAGTTACTTAGACTGCTATAAGCTTTGAAATAAAGCAGAAGGTAGAAGTCTGTGGTTTGTGACCTCTTCAAATTATATAAGAGGTTTATAGTCATTCAATATGAATAACTAATTACATATCATTGGAATTTTTTGTAACCAAAATTTTGAATGAGCCCAAACACATAATTGTAAGTTCATTTTTCTATAATATAGAAAAAAATAAGAGTTTTAGAGTCTTGAGTGGATATAATTTCTGATTGTGTATCATAGTGGTATCATAGTGTTTAAGAGATTCTTGACTTTTAAAAGTAGGCTAGAAATGTCACCATCTGCCATAGAAATTGTTTTTTATTTTTTTTGTAATTTTTGTTTGTTGTGCCATAGGAATTTTGATTGGAAAGTTTGCTATCAGAGTTTCTCAATTCTAAGACACCGAAATATGTTTAATACTTAACAAATCTGAAATTGAGATATATCTTACAGTGGTGACATCTTAGCATTTTGTCAAAATTTAATGGGCAGTGCTTTTTTTCACACCTTACAACTGTTGATATCTTAATTTTGGTGAAATATTGTGGTGATTAAGATAGAAGAATTGAGCTGACTCATTAATTTATCTACATCTCTATTTCTGGTAACCTTCTTTCACATTCTGTCCTGTATCTTCCCTTGTCCCAGCCTATGGTACCTTACCTCTGGACTGCAATTTTTCTGTCTGTAAAATAAAAAAAAAAAGATGGATCAAGGTTTCCAAGATCCTCCTCAATCTTGAATGTGTTCTGATCTATTAATACTACTTCCCTGTCTGGTTGTCTTTTCCACTCCTGAAGAGGAAATCCCCCAAAGGCACCCAATTTCCTTAAACAAATACAATTTGTACTACAACGATACATATTATAATGGGGGTAGGTGGGAATGATTAAGAAGTAAGATTCCACTTCAGGGAAATACAGATTAGGTCAAGAAGCTACAATATAGTTGCCTAAATTTAGGTTAGATAGCTCTGAATGGTGTTCCTTTTACGTGACCCAGAATTCTGGGAAGGGCTGTGAGACATTGTGAAAGAGGAAAAAGCTATTCGCATTATTTTTGGTCAAAGCAGAAAATATCAAGGGGCTGATGGTTTTCTTGTGCTCCTTGGCCTCTTTGAGGACAGGATCTGAGGGCCGCCACATGCTCTGTGGATGAAGAAGGTGAGGATTAATGTGAATGTCATGCTACACCACACTCTTGGGTAACACAGAGCTCTTCATTGGTACTGTTGCCAATTTATGTTGTTTAAGCCAGAAACCTTTATTTTTCCCTCTCTCTTCATTACCCTTCACAAAAAATCAATAAAAATCCCATTGAGTCTAATTCATAAATATCTCCTATATCTTTCTACTTCTCTCCTTACCACTGACACTACCCTGATTCAAACTACATCATCTCTCACCTGGATTATTGCAACAACCTCAGATGGTCTGTATGTATCTGGTCTTGTCTTGTCTTGTTCATCATGATGAGGCAGCTGTAGCTGAAATCTTTTAAAATCTGAAACATCTCTAAAGCACTTCCTGGCATGAAACCTCAAAACCATCTAGGTATAATGTGGCAAGCAGAATTATATTAAAATCTTTCATGTCCTTTTAGTTTTACCGAGTTCAATTATTCTATATTGCCTTTAGAAAAAGAGTCCAATTTTTTTGTTCTCTACAACAGCACTTTTAATCTTTTTCACATTATGATACATAGAAACATAATATTTATGTGGTACACTGGTGTGGAGGGTTTTAGCATCTACATAGATCCTGGTTTAAAAAGTAATCATTGCCTTTTATTTCGGTTATATAATTACAATAAAAAATAAATTATAAAGTTTTAGGGAAAAAACAAATAATTTAATTTTTATAAAATGTTGAAAGAAAATCTTTAAAATTTGTTCTAGTAAGAAATTTCAGTTTATAAATATAAATATAGCCTTTATACCAGGATTTGTGCTTCAAGTGACTTCACCAAATTTCTAATCAACACTGTTAAATGATGACCTCTCTGAAATCATAATAGTCATCAATCTACAGGAAACTTTAGTCTTACAAACTGGTAGTAGCAAATGGCAGAGATGTATTAATCACTCTTTCTATATTGATACAAACTTCTTTCTCAACATTAACCAGAATTTAAATAACTTAAACTATGTAAATGGTCTCTAATAATTGAAACCCTTAAACCTAATAGCTCTTTGTGTTCTTTCATTGAATGTGATTATCTCAAAATGTGTGCTGGTCATCCTAATAGATTTCTAATCCAATGGAATTATTCATTTCAAAATTTCAAAAGAATGATGAAACTTTTCCTCAAGTATGGATTGATGCTGCTATAACAGTCTGTACTACTTAAGGTTCTCCAGAGAAACAGAACCAACAAGATATATATGTATATACAGTCAACCCTCTGTATCTGTGAGTTCTGTATCCATTGATTCAACCAACTATGAATCTAAAATATTCAGAAACTAAAGTTGCATCTCTACCAAACATGTACAGACTTTTTGGTCATTAGTCCCTAAACAATAGGGTAAATAACTGTTTACATAGCATATATATTGCACTAATCATTGTAAGTAATCTAGAGATGATTTAAAGTATATGGAAGGATGTGCATAGGCTATATGCAAATGCTATGCCATTTTATATTAGGGACTTGAGCATCCACGGATTTTGGTAACTTATGGAGGTCCTGAATCCAATTCCCCATGGATACTGAGGGACAACTGAACACACACACACACACACACACACAAACACACAAACATTTTAAGGAATTGGCTCATATGATTTTGGAGGCTTGGTGAGCCCATAGTATGAAGGGGAGGTGGGCAAGCTGGAGACTCTGGAAAGAACCGCAGTGAGTGTGCTGAGGGACCAGGAAGAGCTGATGTTGCAGAAGTCCAAAAGCAGTCTCCTGGAGAATTCCCTCTTGCTTGAGGAAGGTTGATCTTTTGTTGTATCCAGGCCTTCAACTGATAGGTTAAGGCCTAGCAATAGCATAGAGGGCAGTCTCCTACTCAAAGTCCACTGACTTAAATGAAATCTTATCCAAAAACACATCACAGAAACAATCAGAATAATGGGTATCATGGCCCATGCAAGTTGACACATAAAATTAACCATTACACAGTCTTAACAATTCTTCTTAGAATTCTAATTATGGTACTGATTAAAAATTACTAATGAATGATCTTTATCCTTTCCAAAAGTGTTTGCTTTGAATCTGTAAACTCTGTGAAGACATATTAATATATTGTTCATATGGCCCTCATGCTTCTGATTGTTTACTTAAGTGCTCAAAAATTTCAGTATAAAAAAAAGCCTTTCCTTTGAGCCAGTAACTTGCAATTCATTTTACTTTTGCTGCTGCTCATGAGTACCAAATGTAAGCCAAGTCTGAACAGTACAAAGTGAAATAAAGTTAAGAAACTCTTTAATATGGAATAAAATATCCTAAATTTAAATCCAATGCACAGAATTCACTATCAGAAGGGAATATGGCTAGACTCTGCTTTTCCATCTGTCTGATGTTCAGAGGAGTTAATTAAGGGGCAGCATTGTAGAATCAGAGGGGCAAACCACAAGGATGAAGAAAATAGTCTTTACATTCACATAATCGAGACCAAAACTTTTCTGAAGCTAAATTTTCTTCACCTGCACAATGCAAATAGTAATACCTTCCTCACAGGACTGATATGAAGAGTAAATGAAAAAATAAATGGATAGTTCTCAGCATAGTGACTGATACAGAGTAAGTGCTCAACAGATAGAAGCTGCTATTATTTTTTGTTCATATTTGTTGTTTTGTTTCATTTTGTTTGTAATTATCTTTGTTTTACCCTAGTGAAAGAGTTGGGATTTAACCCTAGGACTGTTTTCTCTAAAGCTCATTTTCAGTAACCTATTTTCCTTGAGCTGGTCTTTCTATAAAACTGGTCAGGGTCTAAATACTCATGAGGGAGAAAAAAAGAAAAAAAGAGAATGGAGAAAATTTATGCTTAAAAAAAACCCTCTAAGGTCCTTATCAATCACCTCATATAAGCCTCTCACCACCAAGAGCCGGTAAAGAACACTTTCCCAAATTGTTTTTAAAACAGAGTTTAGGCCACATTTGTATTGTGTGCCAGAAAAGGGAGGCCTTCTCCCTCTTCTATACTTTGCCTTATTCATCACCAAATCTGCAAGAAGAAAATAGACCTATGTTAGTGAATCCCCTCTTAGGAAGCTGAAGTGAAAATTTAAGCCCCTTTCACACAAGGTGTGGCTCAGAATCCCCCCAACTCCAGTATCCCGTGTTCAGTCCTGTCTGCTGGTGAAGACATCAACAGCACCAAAGGACCCTTTGACCATTCCTTTTATTGGCTTCTGTTTCGATTTTTCTTTATCACAAATGCTGAGCCTTTTTGAGTGTAAGGCCTATCATATTTTGCTCCAAACGGATGGTGGTTACAGTGGTTGTTGCTCCTGCTGCTGAAATTGCATTTTTGATAACTCAAATTAGGCCTCTGGGCATGGCTCATTCTAACCACAGCTAGCTGTCATTTCATATTTCTAACTGTGAGATAGAACTATCTGCTCTCTTCAAAACCAACAATATAAATAAAATTTACCCTTTTCTCTTATTTTTAAGTGTTTTTGGAACGTTACTGGGAACTGTGGAGAAATGAAACATGAAACACAGGACAAGGCCCCTGCTCTCAAAGGTCTTTATTCTACAGCACATAGTGATAATAAGTACATGGAACCCAAGAAAAACAAATCTATCCTTGCATTCATCAAACAGGTATCAGTTACTTGCAATGTGCAAGGCACTGTGGTGAATCCTGTGAACAACGAAAAGTTGTGTTACATATGTTTTCGCTGTCTAAGCTTGAAAAGTGAATAGAATTACTCAATGGAGACCGTGGTACCTACACTGAGACTTGAATTATAGGTTTAATGTCAGTCAGTCATGATTGTAGGGGAACAATCTCATATGGAAGATAAAAAAGGGTAAGAAAGAACAAGGCAGAAGCAGGGAGCTCTTACTAATGTAGCTTTCTTGAAACATGGTGGAAGAATTAAAATCATGAATGCTAAGTCTATAAATACATAGAAAGCATTGAGTTTGTATTTGAGAAACTTTTTAAAAAATTGGTATAATCAAAGAAATGCTCCATATACATATGTAGGAAGATTAATGTAGTAGTAGTGACAATAAAATGATGAAAACATAGATTTGGAATAAGCAGTTTTGAGTCTATGATAAATTATCTAGCACTGAGTGTTTAACAGTCTTGAACAAGTAAGGTGATAATGAGAATTTAAAAGAGAACGTGAACGTGATAGACATGGTGAAGGTAGATCCTCTAGTACCTAGTGATTTTTACAGGTGACAACAAAGGGTGAAAGCAAGGTTTGATATTTACAGCAGGATCAAAATAAATCACCAGTGCCATAAGTAGATAAGTTAGAGGACTTACACAGAAGTTGGGGGTAGTGGTATGTGGGTCAGGGTAGGGAAAAGAAGAATTGAGGTCGACCTGATGGTTATTCAGTGGGCAGGTAGGAACAGGGAAGTAAATCTGAGGAGAGAAGTTAGTAGAAGACAAATATTTAAGCCCTGTCTATGTGGAAGTGATTATTAAAGTCCTGAGCATGATGACATCACTGAGATAAGTAGGGCATAAGAGAAGAAAGGGAACTTAAATGTTTTGATCCCTTATATATCAGACACTGGGTTTGATGTTTCATATATGGTATCTCATTTATCTAGTATACAAAGTCTTGGAGTATGTCCAAGAAAAGGCATGCAACATAAAGAAAAAAATACATCAAAGAACAAAGAAGACTGGGAGGAAAATGAAGAAAACAAAAAATCAACACACTGTCATGTTATTTAAGGCAAATGGAAAGGGGAGAGAGACAGGGATTGCTCTACGTTGTCATGTGCTGTGGGAGGGAGCATGTTGAAGATGAAACCTGAAAAGGGGTTAATTATTAGTGACCTTTGTGGTTTGTGACATAGAGAATGGGGAGTCAAAACAAGATTTCAAGGCTGTAAAAAAGAGTTTGTAAAATGTTCAAGGAAGCATGTGACAAAAGACGAGTGTCTGTTATATCCCCTTTGCACTAAAAAAAAAAGCCTAATTTTCCCTGTACTTTATCCTTTGCACTCTCCTTGCCTATAGTAGTTTGTGTAATTGTTTTCTATGCATTTTTCTGTGAAAAAGATGGACACTAGACTGCTCATTAAACAAATATAAACAAATAATTATAGAATACTGTTTATATAGCTAATGCTAGAAATATACCAGTAAATTTTCTTCTTGATGGCTTTGAGCATTTTTTTCTACATCAAGTACTATTGCTTTGTGTATATGATCAATCTTATTCTCAAAATGACCTTGTTGGTTTATTTTTTTTTTAAATTTTCTTTCTTACTTTGGTACACTGCAACTGAACAAGGGTTATCATTATTTTTATTGTTATTAGCCAATGAAGCAAATAGAGACACAGATAGATTAAATAACTTTACTGCAGTCATACAAATAGAAATTAGAGGCAATTTTATATGCACTGGTTGTGACTCTTTTGCACATGTGATTTAGAAGGAAACGTAATATGGCTCCAGACCTATGTTCTTAATTGCCATTTTACACTTATCTTTATTTGTTTCCAACAAATCCAATAGACACTTTTCATGTATGGGCCACATAGAGGAGAGACAGCAGCATTCTTTATGCTGGAAATGAACATATTTAAAAGTGAATAAAAATGGAAAAAAGTAAATAAAATAAATTTTCAAAATCAGTAATTCGAGAAAGTATAAATTATTTTAATATTAGCTAAATTATTGTTTAATAAAATTAATAATTCTTTTTTTTTTTTGAGATGGAGTTTTTTTCTCTTGTTGCCTAGCTGGAGTGCAATGGCACCATCTCAGCTCACTGCAACCTCCGTCTCCCAGGTTCAAGTGATTCTCCTGCCTCAGCCTCCTGAGTAGCTGGGATTACAGACATGCGCTACCAGGCCCAGCTAATTTGTATTTTTAGTAGAGACGGATTTCACCGTGTTGGTCAGACTGGTCTCGAACTCCTGACCTTGTGATCCGCCCGCCTCGGCCTCCCAAAGTGCTGGCAGTACAGGCGTGAGCCACTGCACCCAGCCTAATAATTACTATGTTTTGAGCTTTTTGTCAGTGTGTATCATTGTAGTAACTGAGCTATTATTGTTGGATTTCACATGACACTCTTTCAAAGGTATTATATTCAGTTTCTCTCTTCTTTTATTCATTACTTTCTTGGGTTTATCATTTAACATTTTCTTATGTAGCTATATTTCATGTTGATATATTAAGTATTACTCAAGTTTTTCTTTCTGAATTTTTATAATCTGGGAAATTCTAGGTTTTTATATCTTTTATTTATTGCTTTTATTGCAAAACTACTTATTTAAAAAACTGGCTAAATAAATTAATGTTGTAATAAGGGTGGGGTGAACCTATTATTTTTGTAAAACTCTTTCCAATTTGTTCTTTTCATTTTGTTTTAACATTCAGCCACAGAAACTAAATAAACAAAACCCCTCTAGAGATGAGAGGAATATAAAACACACACAATGTTCATCTTCTTAGGAGCCACATTTAGATTATTAGCCAGGTGAAGAAAAGTCTTGAAGAGAAGTATTTATTTTCCCATTTCTTAGAGTCAGGCAAAAATAGCTCTTGGTTTGTTTTTATGATGCCCAAGTGTTCCATCAGTTCAGTCACATATTTAATCAATCATCCAGATGTTTGATCAATCATCCAGATGTTTTAGCCAACTTTATGTGGAAGAATTGGATGGCCCAAACTGACTTGAGTTGCTATCTTAATGTACAGAAGAACTAGACTTGGTATTAAATGGAGCTCATCTACGCAGCCTTAATGAAGAAATAAACAGCGGTTCTCACATATCTCCATCAATTCTTATGGTCATGCTTATTTACTTTGGTAAATTGAACTCAATAAAATTTGTTAGAGAAGTCCACAGAAACTAACAACTTAGTGCAAAGTGATATCTTTCAATATTTCTTCAGTTGTACAAATAATTTTTTAAATCTATATTAGTAGCTAGATTTTTGTATTTGTCTCAGTTTAGATGAATTCCAAAGCTGAAAATGTCATTTTGGTTTTCTTAAAATAAATTGCCTCCAAAATAAAATTAGTAATACTTCTTAGATATCAAATATTGCATAGTGGTGGAAAGGGTAGAAGTGTAAAGAAAGGAAAAGCTTTGGAAACAAGCATATCTGGTTTTGAATCCCAGGTCTGCTATTATAAATAACTTGATCTTGTGTAAGTTACTTGATTTCCCTAATCCTCAACTTATCTGTAAATTTCAATGTTAATGTAAAGATTAGCTGTAATAAATACAAAATGTCTTGCACTTGTAGCTATTATGATTTTCCTAAATTCTCAGACTAGATATATCTCCTTAAAATCAACGTGTCGTGTCTATATGGAATTTTAGCTTGATACTAGTTCCTGTGATCTTCCTAACCCCTACCCAAAGTGTGCAACTATTTGGGGCTGGTATTTATTTATTCATTTAACAGATATTCTTTAAATACCTACATATTTCCAGTAATGTCTTGGCAATAAGAATACATTGAAGAACAAATAGACATAGTCTCTGACCAATTTGAATCTGAAACTAAATTTGGAAGAAAGAATAAATTAGTGAATAATTAATTAGGTATATGAAATATGCTAAACTGAAATAAAGTACAGGTACTGCAAGAAACTAGAATTGAAAGGCCTGCATATGTGGAAGATTGAAACTGGACCCCTTCCTTATATCATATACAAAAATCAACTCAAGATGAATTAAAGACTTAAACGTAAAACCTAAAACTACGAAAACACTGGAAGATAACCTAGAAAACATCATTCTGGCCATAGGACTAGCAAAGATTTTATGATGAAGACACCAAAAGCAATTGCAACAAAAATAAGAGTTGACAAATGGGACGTAATTAAACTAGAGACCTTTGCACAGTAAAAGAAACTATCAACAGAGTAAACAGACAACCTACAGAATGGGAGAAGATTTTTGCAAACTGTGCATCCAGAAAAGGTCTAATATCCAGAATCTCTAAGGAATTTAAACAAATATTCAAGAAACAAACAAACAACACCATTAAAATGTGAACAAAAGACATGAACAGTTTTCAACAGAAGGCATACATGTGGTAAACAAGCATATGAAAAAATATGCTCCACATCACTAATCATTAGAGAAATGCAAACCAAAACCACAGTGAGATACCACCTCACACCAGTCAGAGTGGCTATCATTAAAAACAAAAATAAAATAAAAATAAAAATAAAAAAATAAAAAAACCCCAAAAAACAGATGCTGGTAATGTTGTGAATAAAAGGAAATGCTTATATACTGCTGGGGGAAATGTAAATTAGTTCAGCCATTGTGAAAGGCAGTTTGGCAATTTCTCAAAGAACTTAAAGCGAAAGTACCATTTGACCTAGCAATCCCATTGTTGGGTATTATACCCAAAGAAATATAAATTGTTCTACCATAAAGACACATGCACGTGTATGTTCACTGCAGCTCTATTCATAATAGCAAAGACATGGAATCAACCTAAATCTCCATCAATGGTAGACTGGATAAAGAAAATGTGATACACATACACCATGGAATACTATGAAGCCATAAAAAGAATAAGATCATGTCTTTTGCAGCAACATAGATGGAGCTGGAAGCCATTTTCCTAAGCAAATTAATGCAGAAACAGAAAACCAAATACTGCATATTATCACTTATAAGTGGAGCTAAAACACTGAGTACATACGGACACAAAGAAGGGAAAAATAGACATCCTTACCTGGGTGATGAAATAATCTGTATATCGAATGATATGTTTAGGCTTTGTGCCCCCACCCAAGTCTCATCTTGAATTATAATTCAACGCCTGTCCCACCCACCTGTTGAGGGACAGACCTGGTGGGTGGGAGGTGACTGGATCATGGGGGTGGTTCCCCCATGCTCTCATCATAGTGAGGGAGTTCTCACGAGATCTGTTGGCTTTATAAACAGCAAGTTTCCCCTGGGCTTCTCTCTGTTTCTCCTGCCACCTTGACTGCTTCTCCTTCTGCCATGATTGTAAGCCTCCCTGAGGCCTCCCAGCCATGCAGAACAGTGAGTCAATTAAACTTTTTGTGTTTATCAATTACCCAGTCTTGGGTATTTATTTACAGCAGTGTGAAAACAGACTAATACACCAAACTCCTGCAGCATGCAATTTACCTATATAACAAACCTGTATATATATACCCTTGAGCCTAAAATAAAAGTTAAAAAAAAGAATAAAAAAAGAATTGAACGGCCTGATTTATATTAGATTGCCGAAGATGGGTCTAAGTAAGTGACATTTTATCTCATTTCTCAAGGATAAATATGGTTATCAGGTCAATCATGGGGAAAATGGCAATTCCAGGCAGAGAATTCTGATATGTAAAAGTCTTGTGTCAGGACAGATCTTTCTGCATTGAGAAACTGAAACAAGATTGGTGGGGTTGTGATACACTTTGCCTCCTCCAAATCCAAATCTTGTGCTGAAATTTGATCCTCAATGTTAGAGGTGGAGCCTAGAGTCAGAGGTGTTTGGGTCATGGGGGAAATCCTTCATGAACGGCTTAGTACCTTTCTTGTGGTTATAAGTGAGTTCTCACTGTGTTATTCCATGGGAGAACTGATTGTTAAAAAGAGCCTGGTACCCTCCTCCTCTCTCATCTGAGCCTCTTCCCCTTACCACTTCACCATGACTGGGAGCTTCCTGAGGCCCACAACAGAAGCAGATGTCAGAGCCATGCTTCTTGTATAGTCTGTAGAATTCTGAACTAAATAAACCTCCTTTCCTTATAAATTACCCAATCTCAGGTAGTTCCTTTATAACAATGCGAAAGGGGCACACATAGGTTGTAAAGTCAGGGCAAGAGGTGGCATGATAAAAGGAGAATCTGGAGAGTTTAAGAGAAAGACCATTAAAGGTGTCTTAGAATAACTCAAGTTTAATCTTGAAATGCTTGAAATGAGCATATGCTTTAGCCTCTCCTCAGCCTCTTCTATCAAATTCATGTAGAAGTTACTTTAGAATAATTTAAACATTTTAAATGTTCAATGCTCAAAAACAAGAAGGAGAATTATCAGAGGACTAGACATTAAAAGAAATCCTAAAAGCAGAGTTCAAATTAAAAAGAGAACAAAGGACACAAAATGTGCAAGAGAAAGTTTAGCTGTGGAAGCTGAGAAGTAACTAGGCTTCTTCACAGCCTCAGTAGTAGACACCCGGGACCACAGGGCCCAGTGAGACAAGGAAGATGATTAACTGGGGTACCACAGAGGGGAATATAAAAAGCAAATACTGATAGCCCTACAAAGCAAAATGGACAAATTCGTAATCACAGTGAGAGGCTGAACATCCCTCTCAGAAACCAACCAAGTAACCACCAACTAATAAGGAGGGATATGGAGGAGTTGTGTAATGCACTTAACAAGCCTGACTGAGTAGCTATACAAAAATGTCTACCATACACTTAAGACTACATATCATTTTCAAACACACAGATTACAGCCACAAAAATTTACCATGTGCTATACCACATTGGAAATGTCAGCAAATTCCATAAAGGTGATAGTATACAGGCTGCAATTACTTGTCGACAATTACAAGAAATTCCACTAAAAAAACCACACATACAAGAAAATTAAAGACGCACACACACACACACATGCATGAACACACACAATTCCAAATAATTATTAGGTTAAAGCAAAAATCAAAATGAAACCGGTAAACTATCTGGATCTGAATAACAAAATAAAATGCTATATAACAAAACTTGAGGGTAGGGCTGAGGCAAGTCTGAGAAAAAAAATGTATGAACTTAGATGTATCCGTTTGAAAAGAAGATGAAAAATAAGTGATCTACGCTCTGAACACAGGATCCCGGGAAAATAAAATAGACAAAAGAAAATAAAAAGATAATATAAATAAAAGCATAAACCAACAAACCACAGGACAAAAAGTAAAAAACCGACAAATAAAAGCAAAAACCGGTGTTTTGAAAGATTAAGAAGACACTTTAGCAAGTATATTCAAGATAAAAAGCTACAAATAGTTGTTACAAATGAAATGGGAAATAATAACAAGACTAAAAAATTATAGGAGAATAACAAACTTCAAAGTAATGCATTTGTAAATCTAGATTAAGTAAAGAATTTCAAAAATAAATTTCATATGTATGTACTTTTCTGAAGTCTATTTCAGTTCAAAAAGATTTTTAAATTAATAATAATTGAAAATGTATTCTCCAGGAGCATTAGGAAAAGGAGAAAAAGGGAACCCAGCTAAGATGTCCCAGGTGAGTAAAGGCAGTGGCACAAAAAAGTGTTACTTATTAGGTCGGGTTAGTGACTTGTAGTATTTTGTGGCAAACAAAGGTTTGGGAAGCAAAAGTAGGAGGCAGGACCCGTGCTAGAGAAGAGCCAGGAGAAGGAGTAATGGTCATAGAGAAAAGGGGTATTTAATATAGAAAAAATAAATAAGTGATTTAATATTATTTTTTAATATTTGTCATCCCTGAAGTCTCTAAATCCCAAATAGTCATTCTGCATTTTTAGGCCTGAATCTCAGAATCTAGGTTATGAGAATTTTTAATTTAAAGCTCTATTAGACCAGCACAAGCTAATAGAAAACAGTAATAGTTCTTGTTTTCCCTATGAGCTCTCAGGATTTAAAAATAATTCAAAAAATAATGTATGTAATTTTTGAGACTACATACTCTTTCCAAAATATTAACTTTTTCAGCCTGAGCTACACATATAGCTAATATTTATGTTTCAGAAAAGTGCATACAGGCCAGGCGTGGTGGCTCACGCCTGTAATTACAGCACTTTGGGAGGCCAAGGTGGGTGGATCACTTGAGGTCAGAAGTTCAAGACCAGCCACGCCAACATGGTGAAACCCTGTCTCTATTTAAAATACAAAAATTAGCCAAACGTGGTGGTGGGTGCCTGTAATCTCAGCTACTCAGGGGACTGAGGCAGGGGAGTAGCTTGAACACGAGTGGCGGAGGTTGCAGTGAGCTGAGATCATACCATTGCACCTTAGGCTGGGTGACAGAGCGAGCCTCCGTCTCAAAAGAAAAAAAAAGTGGATACAACCTCAAATATTAAGACTTCAACATGTGAGTTTTGAGGAGGCACTGTTCAGCCCATAACAGGGGCTTTTGCAGACTACAAAATCAAAAGCGAGAGGGGAATGAAAACTATGCCATAAAGGTAGCTGATAAAACCACTGCATGAGGCAAGGAAAGACAAATGATTGAGAGTCTTTAAAAGTCAAACTTGGCTGAATACTAATCAAGCAATTGAAAGTAAATTTTAATATCCTACCATAACTTTCACAGTTGGCTATATTAACTGCGTTAATTGTGTGCAAGCTTTTAAAAAACGCCTTCTATACAATAAGGACTTAGTATTAGCTGTTGCCCCTGCCATTATTGTCGTTGTCATCATCGTCAGTGTCACCATCATTGTCAATGTCATCGTTGTTCTCTCATCCTGGCCCTCACCACAGCCTACTGTAATAAAATGGTGTAGTCATATCTGTCTCCCTCAACAATCATGGGTTCCTAAAGGCATGCTCACTTCATTGTCTTCATATTAGGATACATTGTGCACCGTGCTTGACACCTAAATCAATGTTGAACTTAATGAGAAAATGAAAACAAAGGAAGGATTCCCTATTTCTTAACATATTTTTCCTTAAAAGCTTTGACTATACGTATGTTCTAATAAGTGCTAAATTAAATACAGACAATATTTGTCTAAATAGAGAACTAAAATTTTTTGGGTAACAAAAGAAAAACCATTTACTGAGGTATTTTAGAAGCTCATGAGAAAAACATTTTAACCACTAAAGAATTTCAATTTGGCAGTGTTTGTAAAATGCTTTGAAGATGCAGACTGATGCATGTGCATTTTTTTCAACTTGGCAAAAAGGAAAAGGATACAGAATATATAAAACCAGATGGAGTGTGAAAAACATGAAAAAAAGTGAAAACTAAATCAGCAAAAACAGTTTTTAAAAATAATTAATATTTTTGTTGTCATCTGGAATGACTAAACCTTCAACTTTAATAAGGGAAAAACACAATCTTTAAAGTGACCAGCTTGTAAATGTATTTTTATTTTGAAAGAAGTTAATTAGAAAGACATTAATAGTTTGATCACTATACTTTTTCCTAGAAAGTAAAAATGGTATGTCTCAGCAAAAAGTTTTTAAAAATAATTAATATTTCTGTTGTCATCTGGAATGACTAAACCTTCAACTTTAATAAGAGAAAAACACAATCTTTAAAGTGACCCGCTTGTAAATGTATTTTTATTTTTAAAGAAGTTAATTAGAAAGACATTATTAGTTTGATCATTATACTTTTTCCTAGAAAGTAAAAATGGCATGTCTTTGTAAACATGGGCAGAACAGAAGAGCTCGGCTTGGCCTGAACTCCTCATACACTTAAGGGTTTGAGATTTGTATTTTGGTGTCATCTACAGGCACTGTACATAGTTTCTTCAACTGATTTTTTTTTTTTCTGTTGGTGGTAGCGGTTCATTTATCTACTTTATGGAACTCTATTACAAAATACCTACCTTTGCTGGTGTAATTTAATAGTCACATTGGTACTGCTGTTTTATCACTTTATACTAATATTGCATTTTTTTTTTTTTTTAGATGGAGTCTCGCTCTATTCCCCAGGCTGGAGTGTGATCTCGGCTCACCGCAACCTCCACCCCATGGGTTCAAGCAATTCTCCTGCCTCAGCCTCCCGAGTAGCTGGGATTACAGGCCCGCACCACCACGCCCAGCTAAGTTTTGTATTTTTAGTAGAGACTGGGTTTCACTATGTTGGCCAGGATGGTCTCGAACTCCTAACCTCAAGTGATCCACCCGCCTGGGCCTCCCAAAGTGCCGAGATTACAGGCATGAGCCACTGCGCCTGGCCCATATTGCAATTTTTAAAGTAATTCAAAAGTATGTAATTTGGAAGGAGGCTGTCATGGTTTGAAGAGCTCTAAATTAAGACTTGGCTGGCATTCACATTCTGCCCAGCTAGGCATTAAATGTTGAAAAATAGGTAACTCATGTAATTTCTCTAATCTCTTACTTTCTTATCTGAAAGACAAGGGAAATAGTAACTATTCTTGCTATCTAATGCAGTTGTAATGAGGACCATAGTTGTAATGAGAATCAGGAGGAAATGTACATAAAATTTTTATGAAGTGTGATTTACCTTTTATTATTTGTTTAACATAATTTATAATTTTTACTCGAGTGACCAATTTCCACCCTTCATGTCTTATCAGTGACAAGAGATACCTGCTCTCTACATACATTGCTCAGCAAATTGTAGCAAGCAGCTTCTATTCTTGTGAAGTCTGGTTGTATATATAAGACATAACCAAAGTTTATAGTTAGAAAAACACTCAAAATATCTAATTAGGCTTCTTTATGAATTTGTAAATAAAGAGACTGAAGCCCTGAGATAGTTAATAGTCTGCTTAAGATCAATGTACTCTGATATGTAATTTAATGCTTACTATGGCTCATGCATGATGCTATTGGCACTAATAGCTGGACTGCACTTGTCTGGACTAGTGGGCTTTGTTTCAATATTTTAGATCAGGGTAAGCAAACTACAGTTCATGGGCCAAATCTAGCCTACTACCTGTTTCTGTAAATAAAATTTTTTGGAACACAGTCACACCCGTTTGTTTAGGTATCATCCACGGCTGCTTTAGTTCTACAGTGGCAAACTTGAGCAGTTGCAACAGAGACCATACGACCCACAAAGCCTAAAATATTTCCTGTCTGGCCCTTTACAAAAAAAAAGTTTGCTGACCTCTGTTTTAAAATAAATATTTTTTATAAAATTCTCTGGAATATCTTTGAAAAGTGATTTATACTTTTTAGGATAAAATTCAAATTTTCAGAAGTAAAATGTAAAAGAGAAAACTTTTATTCTTCTTAGGTGATGTTTCTGGCACCGGTGGAACCTAGCAGAACTACCTGGTACAGAGTAAATGGTTGTCTGTGAATTTTTGTCAAGGGAAGGAAGGAAGCAAGGAAGGAGGGAGCAAGAGAGAGATGTTGGGAGGGAAGGGCAGGAACAAAAAGACTAGGTGACAGGTAGAAAGATCAAATTCAAGGTCTTAACGTCATGAAAATGAGAAAAAAAGTGATTTTTTTTTTCTGCCATGCTCTATGAGTATTCTGAACAAGGTAATAGATTTTCTCTCCCATTGAGACATTTTGCTTTCATTCTAAAACTGGAAACATGTAACATAAGAAGAAAATTTGGCTGAGATGTGTAGTTCTGAGCTACTGCCTGTAAGTAAAATAGATACAGTGAGCCCTCTTATCCATGGGGCATATGTTTCAAGCACCCCAGTTGATATCTAAAACTGAGGATAGTACTGAACCCAATATCTGCTATGATTTTTCTTATACATACATACATACCTATAACAAAGTTTAACTTATAAATTAGGCACAGTAAAAGCTTAACAACAATATAATAGAATAGTTATAACGATATGTCAGCATCACTACACTTACACTTTGAGGCCATTATTAAAAAAAAAAAGGGTCACTTGAACATAAGCACATACCACAACAGTCAATCTGATAACCCAGACAGCTATTAAGTGACTGGGCGGGTAGTGTCTCCAGCGTGGATATACTGGACAAAGGGATAATTCAAGTCACAGTTGGGAAGGTGCAATGTTTCATCACACTACTCAGAATAGTGCACACTTTAAAATTTAGGAATTGTTTATTTCTAGACTTCCCCATTTAATATTTTCAGGGCCTGGCACAGTGGTTCACCCCTGTAATTCTAGCACTTGGGAGGCCACAGAGGGCAGATTGCTTGAGTTCAGGAGTTCGAGACCAGCCTGGGCAATATGGCGAAACCCCGTCTCTACAAAAATACAAAAATTAGCTAGCATGGTGGTGCACACCTGTAGTTCCAGCTATTCGGGAGGCTAAGGTAGGAGGCTGGCTTGAACCTGGGAGGCAGAGGTTGCAGTGAGTAGAAATAGCACCACTGCACTCCAGCCTAGGTGACAGAGCCAGACCTTGTCTCAAAAAGAAAAAAAAAATCTCTCTATATATAGATACATCCATATATATTTTTTCTGGATATATATAATTTGTACATATATATACATATATATTCAGAGTGTGGTTCACCATCGGTAACTGAAACTGTGAAAAGCAAAATTGTGGATAAGGGGGGACTACTGTACCATAAATGCTAACTTTGGTAGAAGTTAAAGATTTTGTTTTGCAGAGCAAGAAAAAATGAACCTCATGATTTACACATGTTCTTCTGGGAAAAAGAACAACAACAACAAAAAAAACATTAAAAAATAGATTTTTCCATAAGAAACAAGAAAGCAATGGATACTTCTGGAAAACTCTCAATCCTTGTTTCCTAGGGGATCATAGACCAGGGGTTGCCTTGGCAGGGATTTAATACATCATTTAACCAAAAGACTACTCTCAGTTCATTAAACATGGATTGCATATGCTTCTCTCATGCTATTTCTAAAGCAGGTTATTGTAAAACAGTGCTAGCCCATGAATTCTCAAGAGAAAAATGTCATGAGAAAGATACCATAGGAAATGTATCTATTTCCTTATTATATTCCTATTTCTTCACTTCGCTTTTGCCTGGTGAGGTCATGCAAGTTAGAACCTTCAGCTTATTGTTTTAAGAAGAATTCATCTAGTTCACTTTGGTTCCTGGGTGGTAAATTGCTCAAAGACCTCCCATGGGTAGCAAACCTTTGTATTGTTATCTCATTACACAACAATGAAGGCTAGTGGAATGAATTTTTTAATTTTTTTTTTCCTCACTGCTGTTTGTCTCTGCTACATAACAATGTGATACAGAATGAAGCTGGCTCAAGTCTCTGTATGTGATATTAACTTGGAACTGCTTCTTGGCTGTCATCATTGACCATGTCACCACTTTGTCACCTGACTCCTAGATTTTGTCAACTGGAGCTGGGTGTCTGAGATCACTTTCATCCCTGTGGAATGTGCCTGCAGTGTTTGCATGAGGGCCGGTCCACTCAGACTTCCCACACAAGGCTATCACTGCTGATGGAATTGTTTTACTTGCAATCTCTGTACTTGTGAGATTAATATAAAGCCCTCCAATGGGGAGGAGGAAGAGGATTCTAAGAATGTCAAAGGAGGAAGCATTTCCTCTAGCTATTTGATTGTGAGGTTAATTTTATGAAACAAAATAGGTGTGAACCTTTTACTTACAGCTTTTTTATCTCACCCAATACTGCGGCCGGGCTTCCCTCATCCGGCTTTTCTTTCATTCAAAAAAGAAAAAAAAAGTGTTATCAAATCCCAGAACTCAGTCCCCCAGCATCTGTTTACACTTCATAGAGTGACTGAGTATGTGTGAAAAGAAAATGGCAGCAACAAGAAATAAGGAATGACCCCATTCCTAAACTCGAGGATATTCAGTTTCTCCCCTCTTTCATTCTCCCCTTCCTCAATTTCCATCCAAACAACCTCACTCTGTGTGTGTGGAAGTTTGCTATTTGATGCTCAAGGTTAATTTTAATACTTAAATGATTCAGCTGTTAGTTCTTCAGCAACCTGTGTGATTCCCTCTGCTTTTGGTGACTGTATAATAGGTACAGAGTAAACAACAGGATTCGTTTTCACCTACACTCACAATGGAAAATCCTTTCATTTGCTTTAAAGTCATACCTCTCAAAAACTAAAACTATTTTAAATACTTTATTATTTAGTTAAAACTATTCAAGCATATCACAAAACATGACTGAACAAAGAAATATGAAAAGGAAGTGTCGGGGAAGAAAGGATTCAAAGTTCTGATGGAGTCCCAACAAAACAAAATAACAATGATCATTTTAGTATCTTATACATTTTCCTTTTCTATTTCAAAGAAAATCTCAATAAGCATGCTAGCCTGTAACATCATGGTTTTAGGCTTCTAGTTCTGTTCCTGCTTAACTACATTCAGTCCTGTCTGTAAGAACCCCACTGGGAGACAAAAAACATTCCCTTTGCTGGCAGGTGGTCTTTTTGTAAGCACTTTTCAATTGAAAACATATGTGTCTGGGTGTGAGGAGGCTTCTGGTAAGTTAGTGGGGAGCTTATGCCAGGGAATGATTGAATTCTACAGGCAAATGCAGGGTAAACATGCATAGCCTTCCCTTTCTTTCAAAATGAAGGCAGAGGCTTTCATTTCATGTAGAAGTTCTCCATTCTACCCACCCTCACCTTCAAGTCGGAAGTCAGCCTTAACTGTCATACAATATAATTCAATATTTACAGTCTTTTCTTATCAGTGTAAACCTAAGACCCCTTGTTTCTCCCCCCTTCTCCTGGTCTTTTCCACCAAGATGGGTTAAACTACCAACAACTGGGGATTGATCTTCTTAGGGATAAAACTTCTTTCTCAGACCTCAGAATGCTTCACAGTTAATCGAAGAGAAAAGAGAGTTGCCAAAGCAAATGTCTTTTCAATTAAGAACCAAAAAATCTTTTTCCTATTCAAAGAAGGGGGAAAAGGCTTTTGGCAAAAGCTTTTTAAAATGAGAAATATGATGCAGGAAGAGCAGTATGTAAATAACCATTTGAAAAGAAGTCAATTAGAAAAGTGCAAGAAAATAATTATAATAAAATAGATTTTGATAATAAAGTTTTTACTAAACTTCAGTCTTTACTAAACCTCTATTAGGTGCCTTTCCCCATCTGAACACACCTTGATAAAAAGACTCAAGGTGGCTAATGCCCTTACAGCTTTCTGTTACATTTCCTGGAAAGAAGAAAGACTGAGTTAGCTTCGTATAAATTAGAATTTAATTTGCAATGTAACTAAAACTGTAAAGGCATTTCCTCCAAATCCCAAACTCTAAAAATAATTGAAGATTGCACAGAAGCAGTGAATTACTGAATAATATGGGAAAACGTACTTTACTCCAAGCCCAAAAGTACTTTATAAACAACCGTACCTCACAAATATCAGTGACAAGAAGAGGTTAGATTGATCCTGTTTAAGTTACTGGTCACTTAATTAACATTTGCTATATCAACACTATAATGCTTCCCAAAACACCAATGCTCTGTAATGAAATTTCTTTTGCTGGAAACTTCAAAGTTTTCTTTATTGGTTCAGAGAAAGTGACAGCACATTTTCCCTCTGTCCTAATAAATGACTTTTGAACATTTACTACAGAAAGTGAATATAACCAAATCAAGGGGAAAGTCACATTGCTTATCTTGGAAAATATTGAAAATGAGGCAAATTCCTCTTATTTTCTTCTTAACGGAATATCTTGCACCCTACTTGTATATCATTGGTTTATACATGAAGCAGCTTGCAATAGATAGAGTGTTACATGTGCACTTTAGAATTCCTAGGAGCTGCTTGAGTAACCCAGAAAAAGGAGTCAAGAATTATTAGACTGTCCTTCAGTTATTACAGACTAATTAGAAAATGGAAAACAAGCTAATTCCAACCCCCTCAAAATCATGATACTTTGTTGTTATATATTGCATTTCAGACATGACTTCATTATTTGTCAGAACATTCTTCTTAGTGTAGGTAGCAACGGTTTTCTCCAGTTTATAGAAGCATAAACTTGGGCATAAAAAGATTAATTGATTTCTGTTGGGTAGAGAAAATCTATACTGAAAGGAGGGAGAGACCAACTTTCTCCAGGGACTCCAGAGCCTGCTGTTTCTCTAGGATATAGAAACCACATCATCAGCAATCTTCGTAACATGTTCTTAAAGTCTTTGACACAACACTGATATTAATCATCTTCATAATATTGACTTAAGAAGGTTTGGGGGTTTTGTTCGTTTATTGTTTTATACTAACACACTACACTCACATAGAATATAGTTAATGATTGGTTGAACAGCATGTTGCATATACAGTAACAAATAAAAGATGAAAATCAGTAAATGATGCTTAAATCTTAATTCAAGAGTGCACGAGAGGTACAGTTAAGAATTGTCATTACTTACTCCCAGAAAGTACTATTTAAGGACAGAAAATTACATAATTGTGCTTGCTTCGGCAGCACAGATACAAAAATTAGAAAATTACACAGAGAAACTTCAGAAGTCTATGATTTCATGAAAAATGGATAACATAATTATAACACCCTTATAAAAATATCTTTAGGAGATTGCTTTACTTAGGTAGTTTTCCCTGTTTGAATGTATCACCTTTACTTTCTCTAATATCTCTGCAATTCATGCATTCATTACTTCACGTAATTGATAAATATTTATCCAATACCTATATTTTGCCTGGAAACTTCGCTTAATATTGGGGATCCTAATACTGGGGCAATAAGATAGGCAAGGTCCTTATTCCCAAGAAATTTATAATGGTAAACAAATATGATAAAGGAGGAAACATGTTCTATCAGGGTGACAACAGAAAGTGGAGATCATGGAAAGCTGGAAATTCCATGCCCCTTGTAAAGAGTATTGTGCCATAAGGGGGCACAGGCCACAGTGCACACAGATTATGGATTTTTCAAGAGGAGCTCAAGGCTTTATTTTTTTGGTGGTTGTTGTTTGTTTTATTAGTTGTGAAATTATTTATAATTAAAGCAAAAAATGTTTTTAAAGTATATATATAGTGTTGTGTTCTCTCATAAATATTGTTGGGCTTAAGAGCAGATTTTCTGGCCTCAAATACTGATTTTGCTACTTCCACGATGTATGAACCCGGATACATTATTGTACTTCTCTGTGCTTTAGTTTCCTTAACTGTAAAAGAAGACATCCCTCATCAGGTGTTGTGTGTAATGAATGAATTTATGTATCACACTTAGAATCTGGCATGCAGTAATCACTCAATTAATCTTTACTATTACTATGGTCTTGTGGGAAAGATGTGATTAAGGAAGCAACTACAGTAATGTGTTGTAAGTACTCTGTCAGGGGAATTTCCAAATGTGGTGGAAATGCAATGCAAGAGCATTTGACTTCAGTCTGTGGACTATATGTATGGTAGAAAGTTGTAACATGGAGGTCAGGGTAACTTCCCTGAGGAAATTATACAGGAAGGAATAGTAGATTTCAGCCTAGTATATTGTAGATTCTAAAAGTAGCTCAATTGGGAGCACTCACAACAGGTAAGGGAAAGGGTGGAAAGAGTTGAGGCTGGAGAAAAAAGCAGAGGCACAAATGGCCTTCCAAGACAGTTATGTTAAGAGGTTTAATTTTGTTTAAGAACAATAGAAAATCATGGAAGCAGAGGTGCAACACATTCTGCATTTTTGAAAGTTGCGTTTTGGTTGTTTGGAGAACATAGAGGTCAGTGAGATGGAAGACAATATGATCAGTTAGGAGGTTTTGGTGAGTATCCAGGTAAAAAATAATGATGGCATTATTGGAGCAGTGTTAGGGGTCATGGAAAGGAGTGGGAAGATATACCAATATTTACTTGCTAAAATTGATGTTTGGTTAGTTTTGGGGGTTGAGGGGAAAAAAAAAGACATAAAGATGTTTTTCCAAGTTTTCTAATTTTTTTTTTTTTTGAGACAGAGTTTTGCTCTTATTGCCCAGGCTGGAATGCAATGGCATGATCTCGGCTCACTGCAACCTCCATCTCCCAGGTTCAAGTGATTCTCCTGCCTCAGCCTCCTGAGTAGCTGGGATTACAGGCATGTGCCACCATGCCCGGCTAATTTTGTATTTTCAGTAGTGATGGGGTTTCCCCATGTTGGTCAGGCTTGTCTCGAACTCCCAGCCTCAGGTGATCTGCCCACCTAGGCCTCCCAAAGTGCTGGGATTATAGGTGTGAGCCACCGCGCCTGGCCTATTTTTTTTTGGTTTGTTTGGTTTTTTTTCAATTAAGTGGATGCTAGTTCCATTCAGTGAGATTAGGATTAGCACAGGATCACAGATTTGATCTAGCAAAGATGAAGTCCCAGCTATTGACTTGAGAGTTTAAGAGGCCTAGGAGAAATCCAGGTAGAAGCAGGGGCACCTGGATGTGTGGTTACATCATCCAGCCTCAATGTTTATCCTCCATGAAACCTTCCATGATCACCCCAATGGAAGCCAAGTCTAAACTCTGGATGCTCCCTCATTTCCAGGAATTTGAAGAACTTATCTCACAGTATCTTGATTTATAGTTAAAAAACTAAAACAAAAACCTACCTAATTTTTGAGTTGCTTACATTCTAAAAGCTCAAATGTATAAAGTAAATTTATAAGCAATGATCTTCCCTGAACATGTGAGGTATTTTCCTTAATTCCACTTCAGCCAGATAGTATATTCATTTGCTGAGACCCTACACACTTCCTGGAGTTCAGCATTTCCTGGGTATTATGAAATAAGACTTTTGTTTTTAAATCTGTCAGGTGTTTGATTTAAGAGATGATTCCTATGCTTTTAAGCCCAGACCTCTAATGAATACTCTAAATTTTCAGATATGAATTTACAACCTGTCATTCATTCAACTGTTTAGCAGGCATTGTTCTAGGAGTTGGAGATTTGGCAATGAATCTCAAATAGATGCCTCCTTCCTCAGAGAGATTACAATCTGTGATGAAGACAGATAGTAAAGAAAAGATAGTAAAACATATAGCATATCAGATGGTTATGAATTATCTGAAGAAAACTGAAAGCACAGAAGATTAAAAAAGAAACATTTGGAGAGGGATCTTTTCGATTTTCATTGTGGAAAGCTTCACTATGAAGATGAGATTTGAAAATTTACCTAGCTGAGATGAGGGAGGAGGCCAAGCACTATCTAAAGGAAGAGCGTGTCAGGCAGAAGGGCAGTGGCACACAGGCCTGTTTCCAGCCATGACCTCCACAGTGAGGAGGCCAGTGTGACGAGAGTGGAGGAAGTAAGGGGGAAAGTTGGAGAAGACCAAGCTGGAAAGGGAAGGAGGTAGAGGTCTAGACGGTGTGGGCCTTCTAGGCCATGAAAGGAAGGAATTTATGGAGGGTTTTATGTAGAGGAGTGTCACGTTCTCACTTGTTTTCTCAAAGGATCACTCTGGTTATGTTAAGAATAGGCTGTCAAGCCTCAAAATGGAAGCAGGGAAAAGCGCAACAATTCAGGAGCGAACTGACAGGGTTGTGCTGTGTCAGTTAATTCCAGCAGGCCTGGAATTGGCCTGAGCTGTTTTGTTAAACGTAGGAGATGTATCTGGATGACACTGATCCCTTAGTCAAGGCATGAAATATACAGGATAATAGTGTTACTTTGTAACCATGAGGCCAAGGCAAGTTTCAGGGTGGTTATTACCAGGTTTTCAGCATTATTTTGTTTACTGGTAACAGTGAGATTGATGATTTGTACCTGGTTTCAGTGAGACTTCCACAGGGCTCTGATGCTGAGGATAAATAATTGACTTGAAGGAGACAAGGGAGGAGGACAAGCAGCTGTATAAAGGAAAAGCATGTTATGTCGCAGAGAACATGCCCACATGTCCAGCAAGGAATTAAAAAACCCAGTCAGAAATCCACCTGGGTGTTTCTTGGACACATTGGAGGTCCCTGATCTTTGAGAGAAAACAATAGAGTCCTACAAATAGGAGATGATTGGCGCCTATATACAGACTTTCTAGACCCCTTGCTGAGAGGCAGCCTTTGGCCAGAATGCATTCTTACTTTAATCCTGTGCTTTACCAGCAATAAACATTATATTTGCATTCATTTTATTTTGGGTCCTATGAGTCTGGCAACATTAGTGCCACAAGTTAGACCAAGATGGTAGCTGTAGAAGTGGTGAGTCAGTCTGTTGTATCCTGGATAACATTTACAGGAAGAACTGATGTGATTTGTTGATGGATTGGATGTGGGGTATGCAAGACACAAGAGGGTCTAGAATGACTCCCAATTTCTTTATCCTGGGCAATTGGCATGATACAGTTAGGAATAATGACTGAGATGAAGCCTAATTAGCATTCACTTAGTTAACAAAAGAAAAGAAAGAAATTGAAGACATTGAGTTTAGACAACTCTCTTGGGGAGATCTGATTTAAACAGAAGCAGAGAAAGGAAAATTTGTTGGAGAATCACAGAACTATGAAGATTTAAGAGAGCTGGTAATCTAGGCATAAAAGGGAATTATTTCAACGTTTTGAAAACTCATTTGAATAAATTATTTCCTTTTTCCACACTGGCTATTTAAATTTTAGCTAACACAAGCAAATAGAATGCAGTAAACATCAGTGCCATATTTAATTATATTATGGGACTTGTCCTATATACTATATCATTCTATCTCTCAGGTATTTTCATTCCAAAGTGATATTCCATTTAACAACTAAAATAAAAGGTGATTGCAATACTATAGCACAATAAAATCAGAAGCTGGAGCCTAGGGAAAATGTAAAATATTGACTCAGTTTCCTATGTGGAATATTATATTTAAGCAAAATATTATTCCTTGTGATTCTGGACCCAAGATTAATCCTAGAATTATGTGGATATTATATGAGCCCAAGAAAAGAATCCCATTTCTAAGCTAAAATGAATTAAACCTGCCATTAATGTTGCTATTGGCCTTTAATATTTATTTTATTCTGTATTTACATTTCATCTGGAAGTCTTTTTGTAGGAAATCTGGGATGATTTTTACTTAGTTTGAAGGTAAAAACTTTGAAAACACCCTTAACTGCTGTGTTGTGCATGCAGAATAAATGTTTGCTAAATGGATGAATGCATACATTAATGAATATATGAAAAAGTAGAGAGTTGCATGAATGGTTGACAAATGAATATATGAATTTAGTGTGGCATATATAATGCAAAAGACATTGCACATAAACAGAGAGGAAGTCATGAATCCTTTATGAATCCCTTTATGCGTGAATAGGAAAAATATTGAGAGATATTAGCAGAATTCAGGCAGCAAAAAAGAGCATTATCATTTATCATCTTAGAATAAACCAGGTGGATGGAATATGGGCAGAATGAGGGGAAAGCGCAAGTCTAATGCAGGTGATTTCACTAAACAATTACTGTGTGTTTAGGTGGCATCCTTGGCCCTTAAAATGGAGATTGAAGTTAGAGTTACAGCCAAAAGAAGCTTCCCAACACTCTTCGTGTAGAACTGACTCACCTGAGAAAAGAGTAAAGTTTATTTCTTTCCTCCTCTGAGTTAGGAATTTGTGACCTCCCTCCACTTTCTATAAACACACACACATGTCCCTAAGGCATTGGTGAAGTGAAAGATTTATATAGGCCCTCCTAAAGGATGTGACTGTTCTCATGAGATTCTCTACCCATCCATCTCTCAAGGTGATTCCTAAACCAGGTAGAAAATTGAGGCATGGAATTGAGACAAATACTGAAAAGACATTTTAGGGAGATGAGCCTTAGGATGAAAGAGAAAAAGTAATTCTAAATTTCTATATCCTTACATGCATGTACTTCTAGATAGACAGACAGACAGACAGGTAGAACTCACCTTCATAGAAAAGGCTGCCGACATTATCTCTTTCTTACTTTTAAGCTATTTTTAAAATGTCTTTCTGCTTCCTCTTTTTGCAATTTAGTAAAGATGGGCCAATTCTCACAGGATTAAAAAAACAGATAAATTACCTACAGTAGCACAATTTGATAGAAATTAATCAAAGAAATGCAATGCAGCTCTTCTAATGCCAAGCTGCCACACTGCCCACTAAAACCACAAATGGGGATTTCCATTCAAATAGTTGCAAAATATTCTTTGATACTTCAGACTCTATTAATGGTAGGATTGTTTCTTCAGCGAAACAGAACAATCCTGCCCTCTGTAATGAAAAGAAAATTAAATTAAATGTTAAAAGAAGGCAGTTTGTTGTTTGTCTTTAGACAATAGACACCAGACACCAGGAGGTAATGAAATAAATGCAAAGAGAAAAGATGTAGGTTAGAATTTCCAAAGTTTTTCCCACGGAATAATAGTCCAGATGCTCCGAGAAAAGCGTGCTCCATGCTGAAAGAGTTCTGCAGCGCTCCATATGCTGCCCTCTCTAGGGGACGCATAGTGCTCATTAAAATAGTAAAGTCCCCAAAATCCTGAACTAAAAAGCCCATTGAGTCTCCTTTAACCTGGTGTTTCCAAAATTTATGAGTCCACACAGCCTTTTAAAATATAACACACATCAAGATCCTGCAGAGTTAGTGATATGGAATATGCCTGGGGCTTTCCTATACAGACAATGCAAACACATCCAAATGTACACAGAGCTAGGCCCTAGGGAAATGGAATCACTTCGTGGTAATCAAAGCCTTTGGTAGAAAAACATAACCTCTTGATGGTCAGAGCATGGAAAAAAAATTATTCAGGTTGGGAACAATGTACTATACCACTTAGGGATATATGGAATTAGAAAAAATTTGAAAGAAGCCAAGAAACTGGAAACGAAAGCTTAATAATTAAATCCACTAGACTGTATTTTAAATTAATCTTTCTGGTGGTACTGGACACAACTTTTCTAGGATAAAGGATATTAATATTATGATATTGTTCACTACACCAGTGCCTTCTAAACTCTGAGATACATTTATCTTTGGAAAACCCCACTTCCCAGGGGTTCCAATGGGGAGAATAAAAAGACTCACAAGGCATCTTGGACATCAAATTCCTCTTATAAAACAATAATTTGTTGAATTAAGTGCTAATGAAACAGATGGATTACATTTCCATCACAATGTGCACAAATTTAAACATTAAAGAGTAAAAGCACGTGGTAAAACCAGCTTTGTGTTTTGCTGATTCTGAAACAGTTAGGAAAATGGTTTCAGATGCCACCAGGCCTGTCTGGCTCCAAGACACCAGCCTCATTGACTGAAATATTCTATTAAGCAAACAGATGGGGGAGTGGTTTGTTACTGATTTCTCCATAAAAGTGAAACATGAAATGTAATATTCCCGGAAGAATAAAAAAAGCCTTGTGCTTCATACTTTACAAAGCTGCATTGAGATTCATCTCTAGGGCACTCTGGAAAAATAGAAGCTCAGGGAATTTATTTTTTACAGAGATTAATTGTATCAGTATGAGATAATTGAGAAAAGGAGAAATAAGTACCTAAAGAAAACAAAGTAAAAAAATGTGGTAGCATAGAGGTATACAGAGGAGCTGGTACCATTCCTTCTGAAACTATTCCAATCAGTAGAAAAAGAGGGAATCCTCCCTAACTCATTTTATGAGGTCAACATCATCCTGATACAAAAGTCTGGCAGAGACACAACAAAAAAAGAGAATTTTAGCGCAATATTCCTGATGAACATCTATGAAAAGTCCTCAATAAAATACTGGCAAACCGAATCCAGCAGCACATAAAAAGCTTATCCACCACAATCAAGTTGGCTTCATCCCTGGGACGCAAGGCTGGTTCAACATATGCAAATCAATAAACGTAATCCAGCATATAAACAGAAGCAAAGACAAAAACCACATGATTATCTCAGTAGATGCAGAAAAGGCCTTTGACAAAATTCAACAGCCCTTCATGCTAAAAACTCTCAATAAACTAGGTATTGATGGAACATATCTCAAAATAATAAGAGCTATTTATGAAAACCCACAGCCAATATCATACTGAATGGGCAAAAACTGGAAGCATTCCCTTTGAAAACTGGCACAAGACAGGGATGCCCTCTCTCACCACTCCTATTCAACATAGCGTTGGAAGTTCTGGCCAGGGCAATCAGGCATGAGAAAGAAATAAAGGGTATTCAATTAGGAAAAGAGGAAGTCAAATTGTCCTTGTTTGCAGATGACATGATTGTATATTTAGAAATCCCCATCGTCTCAGCCCAAAATCTCCTTAAGCTGATAAGCAACTTCAGCAAAGTCTCAGGATACAAAATCAATGTGCAAAAATCACAAGCATCTTATACACCAATAACAGACAAACAGAGAGCCAAATCATAAGTGAACTCCCATTCACAATTGCTTCAAAGAGAATAAAATACCTAGGAATCCAACTTACAAGGGATGTGAAGGACCTGTTCAAGGAGAACTACAAACCACTGCTCAACGAAATAAAAGAGGACACAAACAAATGGAAGAACATTCCATGCTTATGGATAGGAAGAATCAATGTCGTGAAAATGGCCATACTGCCCAAGATAATTTATAAATTCAATGCCATCCCCATCAACTTACCAATGACTTTCTTCACAGAATTGGAAAAAACTACTCTAAAGTTCATATGGAAACAAAAAAGAGCCCACATTGCCAAGACAATCCTAAGCCAAAAGAACAAAGCTGGAGGCATCATGCTACCTGATTTCAAACTATACTACAAGGTCACAGTAACCAAAACAGCATGGTACTGGTGCCAAAACAGAGCTATAGACCAATGGAACAGAACAGAGCCCTCAGAATTAATACCACACATCTACAACCATCTGATCTTTGACAAACCTGACAAAAACAAACAATGGGGAAAGGATTCCCTATTTAATAAATGGTGCTGGGAAAACTGGCTAGTCATATGTAGAAAGCTAAAACTGGACCCCTTCCTTACACCTTATACAAAAATTAATTCAAGATGGATTAAAGACTTAAATGTTAGACCTAAAACCATAAAAACCCTAGAAGAAAACCTAGGCAATACCATTCAGGACATAGGCATTGGCAGAAACTTCTTGACTAAAACACCAAAAGCAATGGCAACAAAAGCCAAAATTGACAAATGGGATCTAATTAAACTAAAGAGCTTCTGCACAGCAAAAGAAACTACCATCAGAGTGAACAGGCAACCTACAGAATGGCAGAAAAGTTTTGCAATCTACCCATCTGACAAAGGGCTAATATCCAGAATCTACAAAGAACTTAAAGAAATTTACAAGAAAAAATCTAACAACCCCATCAAAAAGTGGGCAAAGGATATGAACAGACACTTCTCAAAAGAAGATATTTATGCAGCCAATAGACACGTGAAAAAATGCTCATCATCACTGGCCATCAGAGAAATGCAAATCAAAACCGCAGTGAGATACCATCTCACACCAGTTAGAATGGTGATCATTAAAAAGTAAGGAAACAACAGGTGCTGGAGAGGATGTGGAGAAATAGGAACACTTTTACACTGTTGGTGGGACTGTAAACTAGTTCAACCATTGTGGAAGACAGTGTGGCGATTCCTCAAGGATCTAGAACTAGAAATTCCATTTGACCCAGCCATCCCATTACTGGGTGTATACTCAAAGGATCATAAATCATGCTGCTATAAAGACACATGCACATGTATGTTTATTGCGGCACTATTCACAATAGCAAAGACTTGGAACCAACTCAAATGTCCATCAATAATAGACTGGATGAAGAAAATGTAGCACATATACATCATGGAATACTATGCAGCCATAAAAAAGGATGAGTTCATGACCTTTGTAGGGACATGGATGAAGCTGGAAATCATCATTCTGAGCAAACTATCACAAGGACAGAAAACCAAACACCACATGTTCTCACTCATAAGCGGGAATTGAACAATGAGAACACTTGGACACAGGGTGGGGAACAGCACACACTGGGGCCTGTCATGGGGTTGGGGGAGGAGGGAGGGATAGCATTAGGAGACATACCTAATGTAAATGACAAGTTAATGAGTGCAGCACACCAACATGGCACATGTATACATACGTAACAAACCTGCATGTTGTGCACATGTACCCTAGAACTTAAATAATAAAAAAAAAAATTGGTAGCATAAATTTTGTGAATAGCCTGAATTTCTGCAGCTATGAATACAATTATTGAAATACTTCTTAGAATAACATTTATAGATAAAAATAAGATTTTGTGTGTGCTTTAATAAAAATTAATAAACTTTATTTTTAAGAGCAGTTTTAGGTTCACAGCAAAACTGAGTGGAAAATACAGAGAGTCCCTACACAGAAACCCCCACCCCCACACAGGTACAACCTGTCCCATTATCAACATCGCTCATCAGAGTTGTGCATTTCTTCCAATCGATGAACCTACATTGACACATTACTATCAGCTAAAGTCCATACTTTACATTAGGATTCACTCTATGTGTGTTTTTAACAAGGCAGTAACTTGGTATTATGGATTATTTATCTTGTCAAATAATTGACAATGCTATGTAAAGCATATTATTCGTGGATATTTGAGGATAAAGAAGACTGGAATTAATGCTTTGCCTTGCAAAAGAAATAATTTATAATTACACATTGGTTTATTTGATTTCAAAACGAAATAAATTACAGGAAAATGTAAGTTTTACACACTTAACTTTGATGTTCATCATTGGAAGCAGATAAGCCTAATAAATTATGAAATACCATTGCTAATTTTTCTAATTTACAATTGTAGATTTACAATTTCTGCAAATGTAGAAATATTATTTCCCTGATGTGACCCATTCTTTCTTTGGATAGCTATCTTTGGAAAGGCACATATTAGCACATACAGGAAATTAGCTTTATAGCAATGCTTTACATAGATTATCGTAAGAACAAAACAAAGCCCATATTCATTTCTCATAAACCTATCTTGCAAATGCTTCCATTTCAATATCATGCTGAGATCTTCAGTGCATCAATTATGTATCTCCTCTTTTACAGGGACACTAAGATATATTCATGGAATGAATTTTGATGCTGATTCTGACTCTAAAGGTTGAACTTTGGTTTTCTGAGCTAAGCTGGACCTCTTAATCTATTCCCTGACATTAAAATTCCTGAGAAAGAGATTAGAAACTCCACAATCAATTTAGAGTCTGTGAATATTCCTGCCTGAGGCCTTTTCCACACATTTCTGGCATTAACTCTCCTCAGATATATTCCTGAAGAGGATGACTGAAGCATGCCTTTGGCAACCCAAAGAATCACTTTTTGCTCAGCAATGCCCAGAAACCCTGGATGTGCAGGATTTTTAATAAACTGATTAAGCTAGAAATTCACTCTTACAGATCATTTTATCTGGACTTTAAGATTTCTTTATATGATAGTTCTCTGGGTTTTATTACTAAGTTAAGTCTCTATTATTCTTTTGCTTCCCAGTAAGAATAACTGCAAATATTTTAGTGTATTTTTCAAATTGAAAGACATAATTTTTTTACAAACAGAACAAAGGGAAATTCAACTGTAATCCCCAACTACCCAATGAATAGTCCCTTTTTGTTTTCTTATTTTTTGTCTCTATTTCTCTCTTTCAGTTGTTACCTTCCCAATTTCATTTTTCCTTATCCTTGACACAGCCTTCAACCTGTAATTTTTGCTCAGATATCCACATTTCCCCCATTTTGGCCTGGGGTTCCAAGGTTAGAGCACTCATCTAGGTTTGGCCAAATACTTTATCTCCCTCCACCCATCCATTCCCCTATCCATGGTGGTAAGATGGGGATTGGCCTATGACCAAATCCTGTCGAAACTGGATTTTCAGTTATGCAAACAAATACATTCTCTTTTTTTGCTTAAGTTGACTTCAGTTGGTTTTCTCCAAATTTGAAACAAAAATAGTCCCGGTACACCCTTTCAGACTTTTTCTGGGTGCTATTCATGCATATATTTTTACTTAGTACAGTTACTTCTATGAATTAATGATAGTGACAAGAGGCAGTCAAATGCCTAGGCACATAGGGGCAGGACTCTGGTGAAACCTGACCTTCAAGCCAAAGATAGTCCTGGGTAAACCAGATTGAGAACCTGTCTTCCTGTTTGGTGTGCTTTCCTCTGAGTGATCTCTATACTTCACTTATTTTATAATACATATACCTACCCTTTCCTAATTGGTTTTATACACTGCCATGCTCACTTTTGAGTAGTGCCTTTGCTTTAGCCTTTCTTCCCATACTCACAAACCAATCAGCACCCACTCCCCTATTCTGAGCCCATAAAAGCACCAGACTCAGCCACACAGGGAGAGAAACCACCTGACTGTGGGGGTGGAGGACTAGCCCCCGCATCCCCTCTCTGCTAAGAGCTGTTCTGTCACTCAGTAAAGCTATTCTCCACCCGCCTCACCCTTCAAAATGTTAGTGTAATCTCATACTTCTTGGACATGGGTCATCAGCTCGGAAACTGCCGAATGTGGGTACAAGCTGTAACACAGGCAAGCTAGGGCATGTCTGGCCCAGCCATGGGCTGAGCCAGTGCATAAGCCAGTCTCAGCCCAGCAGGCAAAGTAGGCAGGGTACCTCTGATGCCAGGCCCCAGGGCCGAGGGGGCATCACTGGCTGTGGAGGTCCCTGGTTGTCAAACTGGCTGAGAAAATCCTGAAACTGGCTGAGAAAAATCCTGCGTCATTAACTTTTACAAAAACTAAGTAAGAGAGCTTGTATTTGGTGACTTTAATTATGTAATAGAATTAATTTGTAATAAAATTTAGAGACTCAGAATGAACTTTAGCATTGTATTAAGAACATAGAAATAACTTGATATTTTTCTTAGATGGATTGATTTTTTTTTCTAGAGTACCTGCAGTTTTGAAGAACTTTCAGTAGATTGGTTGCTTTGATGTACAACATTGCAATTCAGAGAAAATCACTTGCTTTTTTTTTTTTTTTGAGACAGAGTCTCACTCTGTCGCCCAGGCTGGGTTGCAGTGGCACAATCTCAGTTCACTGCAACCTCTGCCTCCTGAGTTCAAGCAATTCTCCTGCCTCAGCCTCCCAAGTAGTTGGGATTACAGGTGCCCACTACCACGCCCAGCTAATTTTTGTATTTTTGTACAGACAGGGTTTCACCACGTTGGCTAGGCTGGTCTTGAACTCCTAACCTCAGGTGATCTGCCTGCATTGGCCTCCCAAAGTGCTGGGATTACAAGTGTGAGCCACCATGCTGGGGTGATCACTTGCTGTTTGAAAAATATTGCTCTATATCTTGTTAATTGTTTCTCATATTTGAGTGGCATTTATTTGGAACACGTAAAGAAAAGAAAGTCATTAATTTGTATTTAAAGAATTAATTAATATTATTCAGAAGACTTCCTCAGGACTAGCGATTAAACCTATGACCTGGGAGCGGTTCCGTCAGACTGCTCTGGCATGGTAGTTCAGCCCACTGCTACATACAGGTGGTGGGGGTTCAGTACATGCAAAATCACATTGAGCTTTCTCAGAAGTTACAATAAAGCAGAACCACATCAAGACTGGGGTGTAACCAGTATACAATTCATCTATGTAACCCAAAACCTCTTGTACCCCAAAAGCTATTTGAAATAATATTTCTAAAAAAGATCAGGATATAAGCGCACATCTTACAGAGGCATAATCACTAATCCTGTCAGACATTGTTTTATGTGTAGAAAAAGGCAAGGACTATGGTCATTATGTTTTAGGGAATAGAGTGACTCAGGCAAGAAACATGGGGGACCATATACTATATTCTGTTTTATCTTCAAGGCATTCTTCTGGAGAGCTGCAATTCGTTACAGAGCCAGGGGTTCAAGCAGGGAGGAATAAGCCAATGTGGCTTCTTACATGTTTGCTAGTTTGTGTCATCACAAACATAATCCATCAATTTTAGCTCTGATTTCTCATTAAAATGATCTTGGCTTAATTAGTTGGAAAACTACATATAAATTGCAAAAACAACAACAACAACAAAAAACCACATCCTGTTTTAAAAGGAATTAGTCTATAAAGTCACAATTTTTTCCATGATACTGTGTGAGAACTATAGCTTCCTAGTTTCTGTTTCAACTAGAGAGGTGAGCAACAGTTTCTAATCCAATCATTGTAGGTGTGGAATATGTGTAAGAGAATTTAGCACCATAGTAAAATAGTCTAATAAACATGTTATTGCTGTCTCGAAAGGAAAAGAGAATAGGATCAAAGCAGTTTTTGAAGAGATGATGGCCAAGTATTATTTTAAAATAGGTTGGGCGTGGTGGCTCATGCTTGTAATCCCAGCACTTTGGGAGGCCGAGGCAGGTGGATCATTTGAGGCCAGGAGTTTGAGACCAGCCTGGACAACATGGTGAAACCCCGTCTTTACTAAAAATACAAAAATTAGCCAGCTGTGGTGGTGGGCGCCTATAATCCCAGCTACTCAGGAGGCTGAGGCAGGAGAATCACTTGAACCCGGGAGGCGGAGATTGCAGTTAGTGGAGATCGCACCATTGCACTCCAGCCAGGGCAACAAAAGCAAAACTCCATCTCAAAAAATAAAAAGAAAGAAAGAAAGACACGAACCACTAGGTTTATGAAGGTCAGCAAATCCCAACCCAGATAAACACAAAGATAACTCCATTATGCCTATTTTAGGCAAACTTATGGAAACCAAAAGTAAAGAGAAAATTCTAAAATCAGCTAGGAGGTCAAAGAAGAAATGTTACTTTCAAAGAAGAAAAAATGAAACGAATAGTTGGCTTTTCAGCCAAAACTGAAAATTAGAAGACAGTGGAATTATATCTTTAAAGTACTGAAAGAAAAACAAAATGCCAACTAAAATTGTAAGCACATTGAAAGTATTCAAAAATAAAAACAAAATAAGATGTGTGTAGCCGAATAAAGACTGAAAGACTTTGTTAGCAAAATGGCGATACAAAACATATTAAAAAGAAATTACTCAACTCAAAGGAAGTGGGAAAATACAGGAATGAGTGTAGAGCCTTTGAAAGTGTGTGTAAATATATTTTAATTAATATTCAAAATAATTGCAATATGTTAGGATGTTCATCATATCCTGAAATAATTCAGTAGAGAAATATAGCAATCCAAAATGTGAGTGCACCAGATAGCACAGCTTTTTAAAAAAAGAAGAAAAATTGAGAGAACTATAAAGAAAAATGGAGCAATCATAATTGGAGATTTTAACGTGTCTCATGACTGATGGAACAAACAGATAAAATATAGCACAAATATTTAAGATTTGATTTATTTAATTTATATTTCAGAACACTGCACTAAACAATTGCATTTTTTACATTTTTTTTAAAGTAGGCATGGGATATTTGCCAAAATATAGGCCCATAAAGCAGATCTCAACAATTTCAGAAGATTTGAATAAAACAATATATTATTGAATCACAGTGGAATTAAACTAAAAAAAATCAATAATAAAAATATAACTAGAAATTCTGCAAATGTATGGAAACCAAGTGATACACTTTTAAATAAACATGGGTCAAACAAGAAATCACAATGGAAATAAAAAATATTTTGAACTGAAAGCCAATAAAAACAGGACATGTGGACACATGATATGCAGACAAAGCAATGTTCGCTATGAAGTTTACAGATCTAAATTTACATAAAAATAAGAATGGTTTCAGGTTAGTGATATAAGCTTACATCTTAAAAAGCTAGAGAGAGAATTTCAAAGTAAATAAAAGAACATAGAAGAAAGAAAATAATAAGTAAAAGAATAAATGTCAATGAAATAGAAAACTAATAGGTAATAGAGATAATCTCCAAAACCAAAGGTGGGTTTTTGAAAAGATTAATAAATAAACTCAATAAAAATGATCTAGAATATAAAAGAGAAAAAGACAAATTATCAATATGAGGAATAAACTTTAGGACACTAGTAAAGACTTTAGAGATGTTAAAAAGATCACTCGGACAGCAGGGCAGGGGAAACATAGATGCAAAAATCCTCAACAAAATACTAGCAAATAGTCAAAATACTAGCAAATAATTAAAAAGCTAATCTACCATGATCAAGTAGGCTTTATCCTTGGGATGCAAGGTTGGATCAACATATACAAATCTGTAAATGTGATTCACCACATAAACAGAACTAAAATTAAAAACCACATGATTATCTCAATAGATGCAGAAAAGGCTTTCAATAAAATTTAACACCACTTCATGTTAAAAACCCTGAAAAAACTAGGCATTGAAGGAAAATACTTTAAAATAATAAGAGCCATCTATGACAAACTCACAGCCAACATCATACCAAATAGGCAAAACCTGGAACTATTCCCCTTAGGAACCAGAACAAGACAAGAATTTCTTGATGGTTATATCAGAGGCTGGGAAGGGTAGTGGAGTGGAGAAGAGGAAGTGGAGATGGTTAATGGGCACAAAAATATGGTTAGATAAGATGAATAAAATCTAGATTTGATAGCACAACAGTGTGACAACAGTCAACAATAATGTATTGTACATTTAAAAATAACTATAAGAGTATAATTGGATTGTCTGTAACAGAAAGAAAGGATAAATACTTGTGGTGATGGGATCATTTATTCTGATATGATTAATGCACATTCCATGCCTGTATCAAAATACATTATGTACCCCATAAATATATATGTACACCTACTGTATTTATACCATAAACATATATATACACCATAAATACACACACCTATTATGTATCTCAAAAAATTAAAAATAAAAAAATAAATCATCAATCTTAAACAGTGTTTTTTCAGAGAATCAAAAAAGGAGAAATGTTTTTTACCTCATAAGACCAGCATGACCTTAAAACTAAAGCCTAGTAAAACATCATAAGAAAAGGAAAATCACTGGGTAATAATCCTCATGAACACAAATGCAAAAATACTAAATAAAGTAATACATTAATTCAGTAATTTATTAAAAGGATAACTTATGTTGACCAAATGGACTGTTTTCTAGGAATCAAGGTTGGTTTAGCTTTCAAAATCAACTGATGCAATTTACCACATTAACAGAATCCTCTCCAAAAATCCATATGACAATTTATATAAATGCTGAAAAGCATTTGATAAAACAACCCTCACTAATGATAAAATCAATTGTCAGCCAGTAGGAATGCCCTTCATCTGTTAAAATATAGTTATGAAAAGGCTTACACTCAACATAATGATGATGTATTGAAAACTTTTCTTCTGAATGCAAGATCAAGACAAGAATGTCGACTACCATCTCTTCTACTAACCACCATACTTATAGCCAATGCATAAAGGCATCAAGAAATCAAGTTATAAAGACTAAAAAGGAAAAAGAAAACTTTCATGATTTACAGGTAACAGAATTTTATGTGGAAAATCAAAAATAAATCTATAAAATTGTAGTGAATTTGGCACAGTCACTGGATACAAACTCAATATAAAATTTACATATATGTTTTATATAAAAGTAATAAACAGCTAGAAATGAAATGTACAAAAATTACCATTTATAATACATGGTAACAGCAATAAAATATTTAACTCATGGAATAGGTCTAATAAGACATTAAAAATTTCTATGCTTAAAACTAAATTGCTGAGAGGAAAAAAACTAATCCTCTCAAAATTGATCAACATAATCAACAAAATTACAATCAAAATTACCAGCAAGCATTTGTGTGTGTGTGTGTGTGTGTGTATTTGGAAACTAAAAAGCTGATGCTGAAATGTACATAGAAATGCAAAGGACCTAAGTAAGGCATGAAAAATCTTGAAAAAGAAGAACTAACTGGTGGATTTTACAAATTTACAGTAACTATCACAGTGTAATATTGGCACAAGGACTGAAACTGAACCAATAAAAGATAGTAGAGATTCCAGAAACAGATCATGCCTATATGGTCACCTGATTTACAACAAAGGTATCAGTGCAATTTAGTGAAGAAAGATAGTCTTTTCCACGGCAGGGAAGGGGAACAAAACACCTACCTTCTATTGTATACAAAAATTATTTCGAGATAGATCATGAATCTAAGTGGGAAAGGTAAAATATTAAAACTATACAAAAATAGAAAAATATTTTAATGTAGGGAAAGATGTTTTAAATAAAACCAAAAAGATAAAATATTATTAATTTAGACCATTAAAATTGTGAATTATTGTTTATTAAGTCACTATTAAGAGGGCGAAAAGACAAAATAATGGGAAAGAATGCTTACAATATATTATCTGGCCAATCACCTATACCCGGAATTTCAAAAAACTTCTATAAATCAAGTTTTAGAGTTACAAAAAACACAATAACAAATAGACATAAGATTTGAACAGGTACTTCACAAAAAAGGATATCTAATGCCCCAAAACATAAAAGTGCTACCCATCATAACTCATCATGGAAATGCAATTTAAACCACAATGAGGCACTTTCATATATCCAACAGAATTACTAAAATAAAAAAGACTGACAATACCAAGTGTTAGTGACAAAGTGAAGCAACCAGAACTCTAACGCTACTGCTTGTGGAAGTGTAAGTTGGTAAAAGCATGTTGGGTAATTATTTATGGTAGTATCTACTAAAACTAAGCATAGTTATACCCTATGAAATGACAATTCCACTCTTACGTATATAACTAAAAAAAAAGTGCTTGTGTTCATTTACTTACTTATTTATTTATTTATTTGAGACAGAGTCTCGCTCTGTCGCCCAGGCTGGAGTGCAGTGGCACGATCTCAGCTCACTACAAGCTCCGCCTCCCAGGTTTGCGCCATTCTCCTGCCTCAGCCTCCGGAGTAGCTGGGACTACAGGCGCCTGCCACCACGCCCGGCTAATTTTTTTGTATTTTTAGTAGAGACGGGGTTTCACCGTGTTAGCTAGGATGGTCTCGATCTCCTGACCTTGTGATCCGCCCGCCTCGGCCTCCCAAAGTATTGGGATTATAGGCTTGAGCCACTGCGCCCGGCCACATGTGTCCATTTAAAAGATCTATTTAAGAATGTTCATGTGCACTTTATTCATAAAAGCCTCCATTGGAAATAATCCAAGTGTTCATCAAGAGTAGAATGAGGAAATGAATGGTGATAAACCATTGATTTGGCATACCCTAATTGCTGTGTGAGATACACTGGAATCCCACACAGTAATTAGAGTATGTTGCTGCTACAATGTAGTAGTGTGTATAAATATCACAGAGATAATATTAAGTAAAAGAAGTTAGACATAGAAGAATACACACTGAACGATTACATTTGTCTGAAGTTCAAGATCAGCCAGATCTTATATATGGCAGTAGAAATCAGAATACTGGTTTATGGCTAGTATGTTGTAGACAGTAACGGACATAAGAGAGCTTTCTGAGGTGCTGGAAATGTTCTATATTTTGGCCTTAGTGGTGGTATCATGGAAGAGGATACATATGTAAAAATGTATCCACCTGTATATTTAATATCCATGTGTTTTTCTCTTTTCTGCAAATACCCTGTTTTTAGTCCACTAAATGGTCACAACTCATATCTTGAAGTATAAAGATTAATTTATATGTTGACTTTTAATTTTTTAAATGTAGTTTAAATTGAACTTTAAAAAAATGCTAAGAAAAGACACAAAATTTTCCTATTTATTGCAAAATTATTTATTTAAATGTTTAAATAGCTATATTGTTTTGAAAATTCTGCTGACTAAAAATAATATGTATAATTCCTTTCAAAGGTTGTTCAAGTACCTGTTAACACATCTATGCAAATAGAAAGTTGTAACCGTTGTCTAAATATCAGATAAAAAACATCCACACAATGACAAAATTTAACCCCTACTGTTAAAATATATTTCTATTTATTATTGAGGAGCGACTCAATTTTTTTTCTTTCTTTGCCTCAATGTTTGTTGACATGAAATGAATATTTATGCAAGATTCAAATTCTTCTTTAATATTGTCAGTTGGATAGAGTAAAATTTGAGACTGAATTTGAGAACACGGGTTGTAGTATCTATTCCATTTGCTAGTCATCTAAGGGCAAGGTTTTATATTCACGTGAATTGCAGTAATAAGTTTGTTAATTTTTTTATCTATACATTTATGCAATTAATTTTATATATTTATTATATATAAATTTCAAACTACCTGATTCAAATAATGTAGCCAGATATTAACCTCAACAATTGAGTAATTCACTATTTTTCTTTTGAAGTATTTTTTAAATTATTTGATCCAAAATTTTGTTCTACTTAGTAACTTATGACTGGATATTCATAAGTCTATTGGCCATTTTAAGTATATTATCACTGTAACTAAACAATTACTTCGAATTAGAAAAGTTTCTTTTAACAGAAAGGTATAAACAGCAACCTCCTTCTATAGGAAGAGAAGTAGAAATACAAATAACAGCTTTTCCAGTAGATGATGTAAACAAATATCAAGAATTCCAAAGGGGGCGGGGCCAAAATGGCTGACTAAAAGCAGCAGCAATCGGAGGCTCCCACGAAAAGAACCGTAACAGCCCAAATCCAGCACCAGCAACCAACATATCCAGGTTCTGTCATCAGAAGTGACTACACGCCTGGCATGGCTCACGGAGAGGAAGGAAGAACAGTGTGGTGTGGCGGCTCACCTGACAGCCACACAGGGCAGGGGAGACCCCAACCCCCAGTCAAAGGAGGCAGTGAATGAGGATGCTACCCAGACTGGGAAACTGCTTTTTTCTCGAAAGTGTGCAATCCATGGATCGGAAGATCCCACTTGTAAGCCCATGCCACCGGGGCCTAGGGCCCCAACCATGGAGTGGTGCAGATTCTCAAAAGCCACTCAGCTAGAATCTAGAATCAGCTAGAGTCTGCTAAGCTCCCGTTGGGGAGGGGTAGCCAGCACCATAGCTACTGCTGCCTCCTGCCATCTAAGCCATTTGAGCTCCTTGTGGGAGGGACAGCAGCCAGCACTGGGACTGATAGCTGCCTAACACTAAGCTCCTAGGGAGGGGGAGGGGCAGCTGCCATCCCTATAGTTCCAGGCCATGCTTTTCCCCTGCTGAAGCCAAGAAATTCCAAGCGGTATCCCCCACAGCCCAACACACCAGTTGTGGCAGACTGTGGCCAGAGCCCCTCTTCAGGCCTGACCCTGACCCATCACTCCTCACTGGGCAAGGCCTCCCTGCAGTAGCTCCAACAACTCCTGCCAGGAGCTCAGAGACAGAACTCTGATCTCCCTGAGCCTGAGCCTCTAGCAGGAGGGGTAGCCATAGTATCCAAGGACCAGCAGACTTAGTCTGTCCTCTTGCTAGTTCTGAGGAATCTGGGCAGCTCAAGCAAGTGGGTTTTCCCCCAGCGAAGCACACCTCCTCCACCAAGGGACAGTCAAAGTGCTTTGTTAAATGGGTCCTGCTCCCTGTGCTACCCAACTGGGTGAGACACTCCGAAAGGGGTTGTCAGACACCCTATTCAGGAGCATACCTACTGGCACCAGGTCAGTGCCCCTCAGGGTCAGAGATCCCAGAGGAAGGAGTAGGCACCAATCTTTGCTGTTCTCCAGCCTCTTTGAGTGACATCTCCAGATGCTGGAGTGAACCAGATGAATAAGGCCTGAAGTGAACCCACAGCAATCTGCTGCAGCCGTATAGAAGAGGGACCTGATAACTGAAAGAAAAACAAACAGAAAGCAACAAAAATAGCATCAACAACAACAACAACAACAACAAGCCTCCATAAAAACCCCATCCAAGGCTCAGCAGCCTCAAAGATCAAAACTAGACAAACTCATGAAGAAGAGAAAGCATCAATGAAAAAAACGTTGAAAACCCAAAAGGCCAGAGTGCCTCTTTTCCTCCAAATGTCTGCAACGCCTTTCCTGCAAGTGTGAACTGGAGAGGATGAGATGGGCGAATTGACAGAAGTAGGCTTCAGAAGGTGGATAATAACAAACTCCGCTGAGCTAAAGGAGCATATTCTAACCCAATGAAAAGAAGCGAAGAATCTTGATAAAAGGTTATAGGAGCTGCTAACTAGAATAGCCATTTTAAAGAGGAACATAAATGACCTCATGGAATTGAAAAACACAGCACAAGAACATCATGAAGCATACACAAGTATCAATAGCCGAATTGACCAAGGGGAAGAAAGGGTATCAGAGTTTGAAGAGTATCCTGCTGAAATAAAGCATACAGACAAAATTAGAGAAAAAAAGAACAAAAAGGAATGAAAAAAACCTCCAAGAAATATGGGGCTATGTAAAAAGACTGAACCTATGATTGATTGGAGTACCGGAAAGAGACAGGAGAATGAAACCAAGTTGGAAAACACACTTCAGGATATTATTCAGGAGAACTTCCCCAACCTAGCAAGACAGGCCAACATTCAAATTTAGGAAATACAGAGAACACTGCTAAGACACTCCAAGAGAAGATCAACCCCAAGACACATAATCATCAGATTCTCCAAGGTCAAAATAAAGGAAAAAACGTTAAGGGTAGCCAAAGAGAAAGGCCAAGTCACCTACAAAGGGAAGCCTATTGGACTAACAGCAGACCTCTCAGCAGAAACCCTAGAAGCCAGAGGGCGGGGTGGCAATATTCGACATTCTTAAAGAAAAAGAATTTTCGACCCAGAATTTCATATCCAGTCAACTAAGCTTTATAAGCAAAGGAGAAATAAAATCCTTTCCAGACAAGCAAATGCTGAGGGATTTTGTCACCACGAGGCCTGCCTTGCAAGAGCTCCTGAAGGAAGCACTAAATGTGGAAAGGAAAAACCAGTACCAGCCACTGCAAAAACACACCAAAATATAAAGACCAGTGACACTATGAAGAACTTGTATCAACTAGTATGCAAAATAACCAGATAGCATCATGATGACAGTATGAAATTCAAACATAACTATGTTAACCTTCAATGTAAATGGGCTAAATGCTCCCAGTTAAAAGACACAAACTGGCAAATTGTATAAAGAGTCAAGACCCATTGTTGTGTTATATTCAGCAGACCCATCTCACATGCAAAGACGCACATAAGCTCAAAATAAAGGGATAGAGGAAAATTTACCAAGAAAATGGAAAGAAAAAAAAAAGCAGGGTTTGCAATCCTAGTCTCTGACAAAACAGTCTTTAAACCAACAAAGATCAAACAAGACAAAGAAAGGCAATACATAATGGTAAAGAAGAGCTAACTATCCTAAATATATATGCACCCAAAACAGGAGGACCCAGATTCAAAAAACAAGTTCTTAGAGACCTACAAAGAAACTTAGACTCCCACAGAATAATAGTGGGAGACTTTAACACCCCATTGTCAGTATTAGACAGATCATTGAGACAGAAAATTAACAAGAATATTCAGGACTTGAATTCAGCCCTGGATCAAATGGTCCTAATAGACATCTACAGAACTCTTCATCCCAAATCAACAGAATATACATTTTTCTCAGTGCCACATGGCATTTATTCTAAAATTTACCACATAATTGGAAGTAAAATACTCCTTAGCAAATGCGAAAGAGCGGAAATCATAACAAACAGTCTCTCAGAACACAGTGCAGTCAAATTGGAACTCAGGATTAAGAAACTAACTCAAAACCACACAACTACATGGAAACTGAACAACCTGCTTCTGAATGACTCCTGAGTAAATAATGAAATTAAGAAGAAATCAAGAAGTTCTTTGAAACCAATGAGAGCAAAGAGACAACATACCAGAATCTCTGGGATGCAGCTAAAGCAGTGTTAAGAGGGAAATTTATGGCAGTAAATGGCCACATCAGAAAGCTAGAAAGTTCTAAAATCGACACCTTAACGTCGCAATTAAAGGAGCTAGAGAAGCAAGAGCAAACAAATTCAAAAGCTCGCAGAAGACAAGAAATAACTAAGATCCAAGCAGAACTGAAAGAGAGAGACACAAAAAACCCTTCAAAAAATTAACGAATTCAGGAGCTGTTTTTTTCAGAAAAATTAACAAAATACATAGACCGCTAGCTAGACTAATAGAAAAGAAAATAGAGAAGAATTAAATAGACAAAATAAAAAATGATGAAAGGGATATCACCACTGACGCCACAAAATTACAAACTACCATCAAGGAATACTATAAACACCTCTAGGCAAATAAACTAGAAAACCTGGAAAAAAAATGGATAAATTTCTGGACACATACACCCTCCCAAGACTTAATCAGAAAGAAGTTGAATCCCTGAATAGATCAATAACAAGTTTTCATATTGAGGTAGTAATTGATAGCCTACCAACTATAAAAAGCCGAGGACCAGATGGATTAACAGCCGAATTCCACCAGAGGTATCCAAAGGTACAAAGAGGATCTGGTACCATTCCTTCTGAAACTACTCCAAACAATTGAAAAGGAGGGACTTCTTCCTCTCATTTTATAAGGCCAGCATCATCCTGATACCAAATCCTGGCAGAGACACAACAATAAAAGAAACTTCAGGCCAATATCTCTGATGAACATCCATGTGAAAATCCTCAATAAAATACTGGCAAACCTAATTCAGCAGCACATTCAAAAACTTATTCACCACAATCAAGTCAGTTTCATCCCTGGGATGCAAGGCTGGTTCAACATACACAATCAATAAATGTAATCCATCACATAATCAATGACAAAAAACCATAATTATCTCTATAGATGCAGAAAAGACCTTTGATAAAATTCAGCATCTCTTCATGTTAAAAACTCTCAATAAACTACATACTGATGGAACATATCTCAAAATAATAAGAGCTATTTATGAAAAACTCACAGCCAATATCATATAAATGGGCAAAAGCTGGAAGCATTTCCTTTGAAAATCACCACAAGACAAGGGTGCCCTCTCTCACAACTCATGGTCAACATATTATTGGAAGTTCTGGCCAGGGCAATCAGGCAAAAGAAATAAATAAAAGGTATTCATATAGGAAGAGAAGAAATAAAATTGTTTCTGTTTGCAGACGACATGAGTCTATATTTAGAAAACCCCATTGTCGCAGCCCCCAAACTCCTTAAACTGATAAGCAACTTTAGCAAAATCTCAGGATACAAAATCAATGTGCAAAAATCACAAGCATTCTTATACACCAACAATAGACAAACAGAGAACCAAATCATGAATGAACTCCCATCCACAATTGCTGCAAAGAGAATGAAATACCTAGGAATACAACTTCCAAGGGACATGAAGAACTGCTTCAAGGAGAACTACAAACCACTGCTTGAGAAAATAAGAGACAACACAAACAAATGAAAAAACATTCCAACTTCATGGATCGGAAGAATCAATGTCATGAAAATGGACATACTGGCCGGGTGCGGTGGCTCACGCCTGTAATCCCAGCACTTTGGGAGGCCGAGGCGGGCGGATCACGAGGTCAGGAGATCGAGACCATCCCGGCTAAAACGGTGAAACCCCGTCTCTACTAAAAAATACAAAAAATTAGCCGGGTGTAGTGGCGGGCGCCTGTAGTCCCAGCTACTTGGGAGGCTGAGGCAGGAGAATGGCGTGAACCCGGGAGGCGGAGCTTGCAGTGAGCCGAGATCCCGCCACTGCACTCCAGCCTGGGCGACAGAGCGAGACTCCGTCTCAAAAAAAAAAAAAAAAAAAAAAGAAAATGGACATACTGCCCAAAGTAATTAATAGATTCAATGTTATTCCCCTCAAACCACCATTGACATTCTTTACAGAATTAGAAAAAAACTACTTTAAATTTTATATGGCACAAAAAAGATCCCGTATAGCCAAGACAATCCTAAGCAAAAAGAACAAAGCTAGAGGCATCTTGCTACCTGACTTCAAACTATACTACAAGGATACAGTAACCAAAACAGCATAGTACTGGTACCAAAACAGACGCACAGACCAATGGAACTGAACAGAGACCTCAGAAATAACACCACACATCTACAACCATCTGATCTTTGACAAACCTGACAAAAACAAGCAATGGGGAAAGGATTCCTTAATTGATAAATGGTGCTGGAAAAACTGGCTAGCCATATGCAGAAAACTGAAACTGGATTCCTTCCTTACAGCTTATACAAAATTAACTCAAGATGGATTAAAGACTTATATGCAAAACCCAAAACCATAAAAACCCTAGAAGAAAAACTAGGCAATACCATTCAGGACATAGGCATGGGCAAATACTTCATGATGAAAACGCCAAAAGCAACAAAAGCTAAAATTGACAAATGGTATCTGATTAAACTAAACAGCTTCTGCACAGCAAAAGAAACTATCATCAGAGTGAACAGGCAGCCCATAGAAATGGGAAAAAAATTTTGCAATCTACCTTTCTGACAAAGGTCTAATATCCATAATCTACAAGAAACTTAAACAAATTTACAAGAAAAAAAAACCATCAAAAAGCAGGCAAAGTATATGAACAGACACTTCTCAAAAGAAGACATTTATGTGACCAACAAACATGAAAAAAGCTCAACATCACTGATCATTAGCGAAGTGAAAATCAAAACCACAATGATATACCATCTCACACCAGTCAGAATGGTGATTATTAAAGAGTCAAGAAACAATAGATGCTGGTAAGGCTGTGGAGAAATGGAAACACTTTTACACTGTTGGTGGAAATGTAAATTAATTCAACTATCATGGAAGACAGTGTGGTTATTCCTCAAGGATCTAGAACCAGAAATACCATTTGATCCAGCAATCCCATTACTGGGTGAATACCCAAAGGAATATAAATCAACTACTATAAAGACACATGCACACATATGTTTATTGCAACACTATTTATAAGAGCAAAGGCATGGAACCAACCCAAATGCCTATCAATGATAGATTGGATAATGAAAATGTGATACATATACACCGTGGAATACTATGCAGCCACAAAAATGAATGAGATCGTGTCCTTTGCAGGGACATGGATGAAGCTGGAAGCCATCATCCTCAGCAAACTAACACAGTAACAGAAAACCAAACACCATATGTTCTCACTCAAGTGAGAGTTGAACAATGAGAACACATGGACACAGGGAGGGGAACAACACATACTGGGGCCAGTCAGCGGGTGGGGGGCAAGGGAAAGGAGAGCCTTAGGACAAATAGCTAATGCATGTGGGACTTAAAACCTAGATAACAGGTTGATAGGTGCAGCAAACCACGACACATGTATACCTATGTAACAAACCTGTATGTTCTGCACTTGTATCCCAGAACTTAAAGTAAAATTAAAAAAAAAAAAAGAATACTAAAGAGGACGTCCTTGTGTCATGAATATATTGCTAAGATGGTTAAATGTAATTAAATGGTGGAAAAGTCTGGGAGCCTTGTTTTCAGAAAAGTACTCAGGATTATTTTTTTTTTCTTAAAAAATCACAAATAAATTTATATACTTTCTGTAAGCTGTTTTGCTATATTACTATAAACATCTTTCTAGTCAATGCACACACACCCCTGACACACAAAACTAACAGTATTTTAAATTGGTACTTATATGCCCTAGGTTGGGTGAAGCATAATTAATTTAGTTTAATAAATTTTAGAAAATTTATGTTTTTCAATTTTTTATATTTCCAATTTGTTAAATTATGAATTATACTGTAATTAATATGTTTAGAATGAAATATTTTCTTCAATTCATGATGATTTTAGGGCAAATTACTGGAGTTTGGGTTATGTACACTTTAATTAACAAGCCATTTAAACATATTTTTGCTAAACAAGATAATTATCTTATACTGTAACCAACAAAGTACATTAAACTTCAGTGAGAGAGAGACAGAGAATCAAATCTTTCTATCTTTTCTTTATAATTTCTGTTCCCTTTTTTTTTTTTTTTTTGAGACAGGGTCTCATTCACTGCAACCTTAAGCTCCTGGGCTCAAGCTTCCCAGACAGCCTCTGGCCTCAGCCTCCCAACTAGTTGGAACTACAGGTGTGTGCCAAGTGCCTGGCTCATTTTTGTTAACTTTTTTTTTTGTAGAGATAGAGTCTTTTTATGTTGTCCAGGCTGGTCTCAAATTCTTGACTTCAAGGGATCCTCCCTCCCTATTCTCTTAAAGCTCTGGGATTACAGGCATAAGTCACTGCACCTGGCCATAATTTCTGTTTTTAATAGTATGCTTGAAGAGGTTTTTCTTACTACAATATGCATATTCACTGTGCTAGTTAAATTTAGGTGTCAACTTGACTGGATTACAGGGTAGAACAAAAAGGGTAGGGTAGTGTAGAACAAAAAGCAGAGGAAAGACGAATTTGTTCTCTCTCTCTCCTGGAGCTGGGACACATTTTTTCTCCTGCCCTCAGACATTAAAAATCCAGGTTTTCCATCCTTTGGACTCTGGAACCTGCACCAGTGACACCACTCCACCACCACCCACTCCCTTCTCCTGACTCTCAGGCCCTGGGGCTGGGAGTTACAACATCAGTTTCCCTGGTTCTGAGGCTTTCAAACTTGGACAGCCATGCTACTGATTTCCCCGGTTCTTCAAATTGCACCTGATCTATCATGGGACTTCTCAACCTCCATAATCACATGAACCAGTTCCTCTAATAAAAAATCTCTCATATATCATTATCTATTTACCTTATTCGTTCTGTAACTCTGGAGAATCCTAACACAGTCACTTAAATTTTACTCTAATACTTATATGATATTATTTCTGAAAAATCACATTTAAGAACATTGTGTGTATATATATCTTCATGTGCTAAATTTTTTTGGCTCTCAGTGAGGATTTGTATATAGGTAACACTTTCTTGGTGAGTATATTATATTGTTGTTTATGTTTTTATTGCTATTACTAATAGATTATTTTTATTATAGTTTCTTAACTATTTCTGGCATTTAAGAAATCCATAGATCTTTTTGTATATTTTTCTTTTTCTCCATTGACTATTACGAAATGTTTTCATGGTTTTAACAGTTTCTTAGTTGATTTTCTTGGGATTCTCTTGGATTTCCTCATTGAAGAATCATGATTGCATTAGACACATAGGTCTAACCTGATGTATAAAATACCTGCTAGATGCTGTGCACCATTTTAAGTGACCAAAATACAGTAAATGCAGTCATTGTCCACAGCATAAGAACACTAAGTATCACTCAGCAGGAAACAATCAAATCCCATTTTCAAAGTAGCAAATTAATAGACATACACCCACATAGTATATGAGGCAATGGAGTTCAAAAGTACTGAGAGAAATAAGGTAAGCTATCACCGGCAGGCACAGGTCAGATGAGATAATTACAGTATGTTTATAAAAGAAGATCAAGTTTGGGTAAGAGTCATAGACTAACAAGAACATTAAGACCAGAGAGACTCTGGCAAGATGGCAGCAGCAAATTTGTAATCCTTCTGAATCCTTATATAAAAATAGAACAACTGAATACAAATTGAAAACCTGTGGATAACATGAACAGCAACACTAATTTACATGACAGCCCTACAGACCACAAAATACAAACTGCAGAGGATAAATTCTACAGCTAAAAGACCAGGATTTTATCAGCATCTATATAAAAAGAAACATAAAGAGGTAACAGAACATTCAATGAACATGAATTTAAGAAACTCCAAATAGCCAATAGTATTCATTTTAGAGGAAAATGAGCCAACTTGAGAACAGCAGCTTAAATAAGTATCTGAATACAAGAGCTCTACAGAGTTTTCTATTGCGGCTATAATTTATCACAAACTTAGTGGCTTAAAAAAACACAAATTTATTATCTCACAGTCCTGTAGGTGAGAAGTCCTATAAGCTTGGAAGCTTTCTCTGCTCCAGGGCCCACAAGGCTGAAATCAAGGTGTCAGCTGGGCTGAATTCCTTTCTAGAGGCTCTGAGGATGGATTTATTTATAATCTTATTCAGTTTGTCAACAGAATTTCATGTGGTTGTTAAAATGAGGTCCCCATTTCCTCATTGACTACTGGCCCATAATCATTCTCAGCTTCTAGAAGATGCTGACATCCTTGACTTGTGTCTCTCTTCCTCCATCTTCAAAGACAGCAGTGTTAGGTCAAGTCCCTCTTATAATTCAAATATATCTGAATTTCTTTCTGTGGCATCTTTTGGCTCAACTTTGAGACATTTCCTTTTTTTTTTCAGGGCTTATGTGTTTAGATTTTGGCTTACTTTGATAATCCAGGACCATCTCCTGATTTTAAGGTCAGCTGATTAGTAACCTTAATGACACCTGTAAAGTTCCTTCACGAGAGTACTTAGATTAGTGTCTGATTGAATAACCAGGCAACAGAAATCTTGTGAGTAATCTTTAGAATTCTGCCCACCACAGAATAGTCAGTAATTTCTTAAAGGGTTGGACCAGTGGGGACCACATAAACTTTGAAAACCAACCGGCTAAATTTCTTTTACAGGAAAGCCCCACACTGATGAGAAACTGCTAGGATGGAAGCAAAGTTGAGTAGAATGTAAGCAAAATAGATGAATAAAAGATAAATTATAGATAAAACGAAGGATAAAGAGACAGTAAATATTAGAAAGCAAGTCATCATATGTTTGTGCATTTCACAAAAACAATAGAAGAGGGGCTGGGCACAGTGGCTCACACCTGTAATCTCAGCACTTTGGGAAGCCGAGGTGGGTGGATCATGAGGTCAGGAGATGGAGACCATCCTGGCTATCATGGTGAAACCCTGTCTCTACTAACAATACAAAAAATTAGCCTGGCATGGTGGCATGCGCCTGTAGTCCCAGCTACTCGGGAGGCTGAGGCAGGAGAATCCCTTGAACCCAGAAGGCAGAGGTTACAGTGAGCCAAGATCACCCTACTGCACTCCAGCCTGGGCAACATGGCAAGACTCCATCTCAAAAAAAAAAAAAAAAAAAAAAAAACAACCAAAAAACAATAGAAGAGTTATGTTAAATATGTATCTCCTAGCAAAATAATCAGCAACAGAAAGGTGTTGAGATTAAATAGCACACCGATTGCTAAAAGAAAAAAGATGATAAGAAGTAAAGTAATATCCCTACCGGCAAAGGAATTATGGCAGAAAGATATGGCCACAAAACAACCTGTACATAAGTTTAACTATACACATAAGGAATGGTTATAAGACATTAAAAAACATAAATTAGAATAACTAGAAATGAGGTAAAAGAGTTTAGAAATGAATTAGAAATAAAAAAATAGAAATGAATAAAAAATTAGAGAAAATGCAAAAGAAAACCATAACAGATAATGTTTTAAGAGAAATAGAAAGTGAAAGCAAATACTTTTTTAAACATTGGAAATAAATGAAGAGATAAAAAGGTATTTAAGACAATGACAAATTATGGAGATTGATAAAAAAGATCCAACAAAAGGATAAAAGGGGAGTTGGGGAAGGAGAAACAAGGGAACAGAACAAATGCACAACAAAATGTAATCCCTGAAAAAAATATGACTACAAATTGAAAGATCCACATTGTTTCATACATCTGAGATTATCTGAGAATACTGACCCAGAATAATCAATATCAATGCATATTCTAGTAAAGTACTGGACTTTAAAGGAAAGAAAAAAAATAGCTGATGGTTTATAAAGAAAAAATAGATTTTCATCAGACTTTTGGCAGCAACACTTTATGCACTAAAGAAATAGAATAATATATTTAATGATAATGAAAGAAAGAAAATGTACCTTTGAATAAATATTTACTTGGAGAACTAAAATTAAATGAGAGTTTAATTTAAAAGGGAGAGTATTTTAATAGCTACATGTTCTGCCAATGTAAATATAGTACAACTATTCTAAATAACATAGAAGATGACTGGAGAAACAATATGGAAAACTGTGACCTATTCCAGTAATCATAAGGAGAATTGTTATTCTGAGAATGTTGTGTGTATAATGTGAAATAAAACTATCTGGTTTTATAAAGTATTTTAATTGTACCATCCTCTGTGTCTTTGAGAAACAAGGACACTTGTGAAAGAATGAAGAAATAGGTACACTTCAGATGAAGTTAAATAAAGACTCTGTCCTGAAGTTGAATTGTATCAGAATAAAGTAATGAGACATTTTTATATACGTACGTTTAAAAATAACAGCCCCGTACACTGAAAAGGCCTAGAAAGAAAATCGCAAGTTCTTAGCATGAAGAGGGTGAATCTAGAATTATCAAAGAACACTAAGGTCATGTGAAAAAGATTTAGAAATTTCCATGGAATAACTTGAGTTTCAAAAGGATATAATAATAATTCATTATTTTAAAACCAGGGGAAATAAAAGGAAAACAATCAATTAATTATCTTGACTTACCTATATAAACAATATCACTGAGTGAACAAACAGTATATGAGGATGACTATCTCTACCAAATTCTTTCCATTAATATGTGAAAAAGAAAGGACAGAATTTTAAAAGTACTGTTTTGCAGTCTCTTATAAATTAATAGATTTAGGCATTGAGCATCAACAGCCAATAACACCCAGAAAGAGAGAACACCAGACACTGATGAATAAACCCAAAACTAACCATAGTCTTGTCAAAATGATAAACATTCTGATCAAGCATCTGGATTCAGCCAACAATTTGCAAGGAACACAGAGGACAGAGGAACTATGCTGACTTCACTAAGAAACATCAATCAATAAAATTCAGATTGTGGAAGACTTCCAATGTGAATTATTGGTATTTTTTAAGAGAAGTGGAAGACAAAATGGAATAGAGAAGGGAACTGGTAGATGAATAGCAACTTAGAAGACATTGCCTTAAAAAAAAGGGGTAAGACCCAACTATTGTTCCTAGGGATGCCTACTTGGGTGATAAAACTATAAAGAAATGCAAGGAAATAATTGCTATAAAAATTAGAGTAGTGGCTACTTTGGAGAGACCAAAAGGGGCTTATGATTGAATGGTGCACATACAGAAGCTTCTCGGTGGCTGGCAAAGTTCTATTTATTGATCTGGATGGTGTTCACCAGGATGTTGATTTTACAACAATGCATTAAATTATACATTTATTTCATGAGGTTTTCTTTGTGCTTTATTTTATAATTTCAAAAAGAAAGCAAATGGTAGAGCATTGAAGGCATTTTCTTTCTGAGTGCAGATATACAAAGCTTGTATAACAGTGCTTTATGTTTTATGATACTTTGCAGTTTAATTATCACTTTAATTATCTCAAGATTTTCATACTAATTCAGTGACATTTAGAGATAAATTGTTATTGTCCTCTTTCAAATATGAGGAAACAAAAATTAAGGGTCTAGATCACAGAAGTGGTCTAGACCACTGTGTGGGCCTGAGGTTTAAACCCAAGCCTAGAAGCAATTCACCTCCACACCTGCATCTACATACAACCACATCACACACATAAATGTTCACACATACAAGTGGTATTAATATTTATAGGCAGAGAGAAGATTCAGCAACCATACCCACTCCACCACCCACCCCAGAGGTTGTATTGATAGTAAAAGCAATGGCATTTGTTTGTTTTTCTTTTACATTAAAGACATTACAAGTTAACCTGTATACATTGGTCACTGTTTCTAAAGGACATTTTCACAGGATCTCTCATGACACAAGTTATGTGCTTCATTGTTATGCATTTCATTGTACTTCCTCTAATCCTTGTTGCTCAGACTTTTACAAGTTAGCTTCATTTTAAATGGTCTGAGGTAAAGATACTTAATACTCATTTAGCCTCTGTTCTCAGCTGTATTTTATACGTGAGGAAAGTGTGGCTATGACAGCTTAAGAAATTTGTCCTCACAGCAAAATATTTCAGAACTAGAATTTTAATCTGGAATTTTATGATGACAAATCCTCAGTTTTCATCCTGGTGACCCCTCTGGGGCCTTTAATACTTGACAAATAATAGAGAAGAAAATGTAGTGCTGAGAATGTGAGAATGCTATTACTATCTTTCTAGAGTATTGCATAAAGTTGATGGTCAAAAAATATAATTCCAGGAAGAAAGAAACATTCAAAGAATTAATGTGAGTAATTTTCCAGGAATTCCAAATGTAGGTCTTATATGAACCTTGACAACAAAAGTTGTTTAGTAGGTACAAGCTGTGGGAGGAAGCACAGAACTCTTGGGAGTCATGCAATAGTCCTTGAGTAGCTGATTTCAGCAGCTCACCTTACATGACATATCTCCAATGGCATTGCAAAACCAAGCAGTGAGGAACACCTGCACATGTAAGCTTCCATGATAAGATAAAATACCAGAAGAAGCAGGGCCACTGCAAAGGCTACTTTGTAATTAAACATAAATAAGCAGACATAAGATCTAAGCAAAGATTTATTATCATATATATTGGAAACCACTTTTATAGACAGTTGTCAAATGAGTTACAAACCACAATCTCTTTAAGGTACCGTGTATGTTAAGGAAGTCTTTTTTTTCTTCTAGACAACAATCTCTGACACAATCCTTTCAAAGAAAATGTCTCATTTAAATCAAACACTACTTTGCTGATTTTTAATTTACAGAGAAATTGAACTTAGAAACTTAAATTATGTACCATCTTACATGTAACATCATTGATCCTCTAAAATTCTACATATAAACAAAGTAAAGCAAAGACATCAGGAATTTTACAAGACTACCTGGTATTATTGCTGGAGATGCAAATCTTGATATTCTCTCAGTAAAACTGTATTTACAGGAGGTTAAGTGTTTTTCAACCACACTTTATTATTTGGCCCCAAATATCTTTCATACACCCCTTTGAGACTTGTCTTGGCAAACAAGGAGGTAAAACAAGAGGCCAAATGGCACATCACGAAACTCTCAAAAGTAAAACATACTTGGAATTATAAAGGACAATGCTTATGATATTTGGTATTTCATCTTGACAGCAATAAATTTAGAAGGGAACCCTTATTTTCTATTATTGCCTGAGTTTTTAAGCCCCAAATTAAATATAATTTATCTTAGTTGAAAAATTGATGATAATCTTATATTTTAAAACTTATATGATTGTATATAAGTAGGCTTAAATACACATACCATCACACATAGAATCACAAATAATTATAAAAGAAAGTGAACTCATTCTTTCTGAAACAATTCCTATGTGCAGATTTTCTTTACTGTCTACATATATTTAAAATTATAAATCAAATCTTAGCAGCACTAATTTATCACTGATACATAAAATCTTTACTAGAATTAAAATTATTACAAGACCATTCACTCATTAAAAAGAAAAGCCAAATGGTTACAGGTAGATTTAACAATACCAAGTTTGCTCTAAAAGAATAAAGGACACTGTGTCACATAATCTCCTTATTTCCTTTGATTATTGGTCTGTAATCTTGCTGAAAATTACAGAGAAACAATAAAAAATTAGTTTTGACATTCAAAGTCAGATTTGAGTGTGCCAGCAAAGAGCATATACTATGATTCAATAAATTTGAGAAGCATTATTTTTGAATAATGATTTTGAAAATTCCCATGAATCCAAAAAAGTAAAATGCTCTTTTTCTATTTTGAAATTCTGTTAAAATATAACTCCCTATATATTCAATACATTGCTTGTGACAGTTAAAAAAAAAACAAACAGAAACTCAAAAACTATTTAAAGAAACCAATACAATAATACTGGTGTTATCTATAGTACTCCTAATGTTCTGAAGAAGTCTAGTAAAAACATTTGGGAATATTAGTTCTGCATTTTTAGTCCATAACTCGAGAAAAGAATGAGCTGGAAAAGCATAGTAAAAGTTGTGTCATATAGACTTAACAGGATGCCAGACAAGACTTAGACCAAGCCAATGTCATGTGAGACACAAGAAAAAATGTCTGCTTACACTCAGCCACTCACACTGAATACGGCATCTGACTGGATTACCAGAAGTGATGTTCCTTACCATGTTAACTAGGCTAGGAAGGCAGAGATCATTGACGGTAGGAAATTTCATTTCTAGAACTTGTCATAGTCTGAACCATTAAATTGTGAAATGACTGCTTATTTACATTTCTCATTTCTATTGAAATCTAAGAATGTCATCATAGGCAACAAACAAAAAAAAGGGTTATGTTTATTAATAATATTGGTTTTGCCAAGAGAACGTCCTAGCTTTTTTTTTTTGAGACAGAGTTTCACTCTTGTTGCCCAGGCTAGAGTGCAAGGGCATAATCTCGGCTCACTGCAACCTCTACCTTCCGGGTTCACACGATTCTCCTCCCTCAGCCTCCCAAGTAGCTGGGACTACAGGCATGTATCACCACGTCCGGCTAACTTTTTGTATTTTAGTAGGGATGGGGCTTCACCATGTTGGTCAGACTGGTCTTGAACTCCTGACCTCAGGTGATCTACCCACCTCAGCCTCCCAAAGTGCCGGGATTACAGACGTGAGCCACTGCACCCGGCCTCCTAGCTTTTATTAAAATAGCTGTGCATATTTCCATTCTGCCCCTAATGATACATGTTTAATGTGACTTAGAAAAGACTGAAAACTGCTGTGGACTTCAATGAACTATAACATAATCTGCAAACCTTAACTCAAAATAAGATCAAATGTGTGAAGAAATTTACCACTTATCAGAAAAGTTACTGATTTGGTAAAGTAGAAACCAAGTCTGTTTAGATAGACTAGCACTTCATTATGGCTACACATAGCCTCTCGTGACTCCCACCATCAAATGTTTGTTACAACATACTTTATAAAACATTGGACAATAGTGTAACAATGCAAAATCAGGATGTAGTATAACAAAGCTAGATACTAACTCTCTCCTTGCTTTCCTTTTTAAAAGTAAAAAAAATCCCCCATCCTATGTAAACGGAAGTTAAAATATGGTGCATATAGTAGAGTCCTTTTAAAAATTCTATATTTCCTTGGACATAGAGAGGTATGGAAGGCTTGTCATAATTCGCCTAACCATCCAAGCTCTCCTCTTCTAACATTTTGTGTGCTATATTTTACTTGGTGGAAAATAATGTCCTTCCTGTATTACTCTCCCAGCTGCTGAATGGTACACAAATTTATAAACTTAAAATATAACATTTGAAAAAGAAAAAAGATTAGTATAACGTAGAATAAATGTCCGATTGAGGAATCAGTTTAAGTAGGACCATTTAAAGTTAATCCAGTTTAAGTAGTAAATAGGAATAGTAATAAGAAAAACAACCTTATTTTTGCATAATATTGACAATTTTTCATAGTGTCTCGATGAGAAAAAAATTGCCACTGGGTACTATTTTTAATACTTTGAAATAATATACAGAAAAGTTTAATTCAATTGACATTTGTACTCTTTCAGGAAAAGCAAAACAAAACCAAAACCAAAACCAAAACCCAGAAAACAACAAGCAGTTTTTGATAAATAGTACAGAAGTAATCTTAAAATATTCTTTGAAATCTATGAATTATTCTCCAAACATTTTTTTGGAACAATTTCCTATGCCACTAACAGCATTATGAAAATTTAGTTTCTAAATTCTCATGACTAACAGGTAAGTGCTGAAAAATAGTTTAAATGTTTGTTCATGTTACCTGTTTTCTTAATAAAATTTAAAATATATAAATACAGAAAAATAAAGTAACAAATGGCAGGACTTCAATTTTTACAAATGCATATGTAATAAAAGATTGGATCAGAAAAAAATGCAGAGGGCTGATTGACAAATCAGTCAGTAAAGAGTTCAGGGTATCTGAACTTAATGTTTTGATGGCATTACTGCTTCCTGAAAGCATATCAATGTGTCGGTCAGAAATGGAATCTTTGTCTGTGGAGCACAGATCTCAGCATTGAAATCACTGTGCTTTGTTCTTTACCATTTTTATTTAATTAAGTGAGATTCAAAACACTTTTATTTCATGAAATAAATCTAGCTTTATTTATTTTTAAAATTTTCAAACATAGAAATTTCTGCCTGCACTCTGGGTGGTATATTCAGACATACCTCATCTAGTGGCAGACATAACAGCAAAAACTAAAGTTCAGCAAAAACTGAAGTTTAGCATTAGCTCTCATAGGAAAAGCAATTTTCAGTAATTTGCCTATTATCTTGTTACATGTGTCATTTAACATATTCTAATCATTTTTGGAGCCTTCTTATAATTTATATAAGTAATACCTCTATATAGGCTACCCATTTTATTGAATTTTAGTAGATACGCTAGTATATGCCAAATAGAAGAATTTTGGATTAACCCTAACCCCAAATTAACTGATCTTGAAAGATGCCCAGATATACTTCCACATATTTACACAACCCAACTCAAATGTAAACTGACAATGAAAGACCTTTCCAAATTATCTTCCATAAAGATTTAGAGAAAACTATTAAACCGGTTAATATGAGATGAAGGATATTAGTTTATGTTCACTGACACTTTTCTAAATGATTTTTTGCAACCATGGTAATTAGGCTAAATGTCACATATGCCTTGTTGACTCTTTTCAGAGTCAGAAGTAAACAGGAAATTTCAGATTTTGACATTTTCGTTCATTTTGGAATTGTCTGATAGTGACAGAGATCCAACACTAGAGGTAATCATCCTGTTTACACAGACTGCAAAATGAGTGTACCAGCTAATAACTCTCAGATATTTCACTTAATCAAACTTTTAAATGATTCTTCTTAGACTGATAGCATTGATACAACAGGAACATAGAGAGTAAAACAAGAAAATCTTTATTATGCTTTTTCATGAAAGAGGTAGTAGAAAATTAAATGTCCAGATTTCCTGGGTTTTTTGAGTGTCAATAAGGACAAAGCTTTTTAAGTCTGTACATGATGCTTTAAAGCTTATCCAATTTAAGTAGTAAATAGGAATAGTCCTAATAAAAACAACCTTATTTTTGCATAATATTGGCAATTTTTCACAGTGTCTTGATGAACAAAAAATTGCCACTGGGTACTATTTTTAATACTTTGAAATAATATACAGAAAAGTTTAATTCAATTGATATTTGTACTCTTTCAGGAAAAGCAAAAACAATAAAAAAACAAAAAAAAACAGAAAATAATAAGCAGTTTTGATAAACAGTACAAAAGTAATCTTAAAATATTCCTTGAAATCTATGAATTATTCTCCAAACATTTTTTGGAACAATTTATGCCACTAAAAGCAATATGAGGATTTAGCTTCTAAATTCTCATGACCAATAGATAAGTGCTGAAAAATAATTTAAATTTTTGTTCATGTTACCTGTTTTCTTAATAAAGTTACATGCTATCAATAAATAGTTAAAATCCTTTCAAAAGACATCATTGCTTTTTTATATTGGATATTGCTTTTGGTGTTAATCAGTCCTAACATTATGAAATGTAGCCATTGAGAAAACCATAGGTGAATAATAGTTATTTAAGTTTGTATTTTTTTTTTACTATGGTAAAAACCTCTGAAAACATTTTGGATATCTTAATTTTTATCAAAACTGATTCATCTGTTTTATTCATTTCAAAAATATTATTATGCTGTTGAAAGAAGAGTTTGTTAATAACAAATAGCCATGATTCCAATTTACGTTTTGAAAAAGAAGCATGAAGTTGGAGGACCTGTGCAATTTCAAATTTTAATACAAAGTTACAGTAATCAATGCAGTATGACATCAGTATAATAATAGATATGTAGATCAATAAAACTGGATGAAGAACCCAGTAAAAAACCCACACATTTACAGTAAATTGATTTTTAACAAAGATGCCTAGGCAATTCAAGAGGAAAACAATAATCTTTACCACAAGTGGTGTTAGAACAAATGGATTGCTATATGCAAAACAAAAACCAAACCAAACCAAAACAAAAAATCTCAGATGCTTACTTTACATCATATACAAATTTAAATAAACATGGATCTGAGACATAAGTAGAAAAATTAAAACTATCCACATTTTAGAAGAAGACATCCGATAAACAATGTGTGTCCTTAGGCAAGAATTTCTTAGACATGATTCTGAAAGCCTGATTCACAAAATAAAAATTGGCGAATTTGACTTCATCGAAATTGAAAACTGATGGTATTCGAAAGATCCCATTTCAAAAATGGAAAGACAAACCACAAAGTGAGAAATATATTTGCAAATCATACATATAATAAACACTTGTATCCAGAATATAGTTGTCATCTATTGCTGAATTACTCTTAATACTTAGCATCTCAAAACAACAAGCCATACAGTTTTGAGGGGCAGGAATCTGGAAGTGGCTTAGCTGAGTGGTGCTGGCTCAGGGTGTCTCAAGACAAGCTGTTGGCCAAAGCCACAGTCATCTGGAGCTAGACAATTCCGTGCTCACTCATACGGTTGTTGGCAGGCCTCGGTTCCTTGTTGGCTGTTGGAAAAATACCTCAGTTCCTTGTCCCAGGGGCCCTTTATAGGCCATCTGATTGTCCTCAAGACACGGCAGCTGGATTCTCCAGAATGAATGATGCAAAGGGGTTTGGCAGGGGAGAAAAAGAAGCTGAGATGGAAAACACAGTCTCTTATAACCTAACCTTGGAAGTGATATACCACCATTTCTGCCATATGTTGTTTGGTTCTGTTGGTCAGACCAATCCTGGAGCAATGAGGAAGGCACTACTCAAGGGTGTGAATGCTAGAAGGTGAGGTCATCTGGCTATTGAACAGAATACATAAAGAACTTTTGAAGCTCAGTAATAAGGTGACAAATAACTCAACAAGAAAATGGGAAAAATATTTCAATAGGCATTTCACTAAAGAAGATATATGTATGGCTAAAAATAATAATAAAAACACCAAATGAAGACATGCTCAACATCATCAGTCATTAGGATAATGCAAATTAAAATTACAATGAGATATCATTATATACCCACTAGAATGACTAGAATCAAAAAGACTGACCATACCAAGTGTTGGCAAATATTTCGAGAAACTGGAACCTTTATACATTATTGGTGGGGATGTAAAATGGCACAACCATTTTGAAGAACAGTTTGGGAGGTTTTAAAAGTTAAGTATCCCTTTACCATATGACTCAGCAATTCTAATCTTAGGTATTTATCCAAGAGAAACAGAATCATATATTTAGATATCCACAAAAAGATTTGTACATAAATGTTTATAAAATCATCACTTACAATAGCCAAAAACTGGAAACGACCCAAATGCCCACCAACAGGTGATTGGAAAAACAAAGTTTGGTGTCAATACAATAGAATGATACTCAGCAATAAAATAGAATGATCCATGCAACAAAATGAATGCATCTCAAAATAATACAAAATGAAAGAAGTCATTTCTATGAGTTTTATATTGCTACCATAATAATTCCTACAAACTTAATGACATAAAACAATACAAATGTATTATCTTATCATTTTGGAGGCCATAAGCCTGACATGGGTCTCACTAAGCTAAATTGACAGGGCCGTGTCTCTTTCTGGAGGCTCTAGAGGGTAATCTATTTCTCTGACTGTTCCCTTCTAGAGGTCCCCTCCATTTCTTGACTCATGGCTCCCTTCCTCTAACTTCAAAGCCATCAATGGCAGACTGAGTCTTTCTTGCATTGCATCTCTCTGACTCTTCTTCCATTATTGTATCTCTCTGACCCAGCTGAGAAAGTTTCTGTGCTTTTAAGGGCTGAATTGATTACATTGGGCCCATCCAGATAGTCCTGGATAATCTCCGCATTTGTACGCAATTTACGTTGGCGAAGTCCCCTTTCCAATGTGATATAACATTCACAAGTGCAGGGGATTTTATTTTGCAAACCACACTTTTTATATGAAATTTCTAGGAAAAGCAAAAATAAGTAGATGAAAATTTTATCAGTGTTTGCTGGGACTGGGGGTGGGAGCAGATTTCACTAAAAATGGACATTAAAGATCTTTTTAGAATGACAGAAATTATCTAAAATGGAATCTATCATATTTGCACAATTCTAAATTTTACTAAAAATCATCAAGTTGCATATTTTCAACGGGCGAATTTTATATGTAAAATATAGTTCAATAAAACCATTAAATATTTTTAAGTGAATGGAAAAAAGCAAAGAAAAATAATTTGTTGAAGTAGTTAATACTATTAAAATAAGCCTTGAAAACACGGACCTCTTATTTGGGATTTTGACTCCTGGTGAATTTCTGTTTTCTTCCAATCAATTAAATTAGTGTTTTGGCTTTCATCATGAGCACATTATGTTTACACTCAATATATCATCTGCTGATCTTAAACACATTCCTATTACATCACTTGACAGAAGTGCGTGTGAGACTTCTGAACTCAAATAAGGCCTCCCAAAAAGCTTTTCTTTTAATACTTCCATTGGATAAATTATAAACACATAGACAGAAATGCTAGAATCAAATCTCAAATGCTTCATCCTACTATATGTGTAAAACTATGATTCATTATTATTAAGAATCACAACAAAGCCCATCCACCAATTAATTTTTTTCACATAAATATGTGGTGAAACATTTATTTACAGTTTCCTTTGCCTGGCAAGTGGTAAACCAGAATACTGAAAATTTGTGTCTTTTCTGAGTACATAGACTTAGTGACAAAAAACCTAGCACTTCATACACATTTGCTCCAGAAGTACTCAGAAGGGTCACGTTACCCTACTGAAGAATAAAGGTACACACTCTGCATCTTTATTAGTGATGAATCATTAATTTATTCTGATTAGCCTTAAAGTATGAACGAGTCAGCTAGCTGAACTGTGTGAAATGGTGGGTGGTACAGCAAGAAGTTTGATGCTGACTTATTTAACTATAGATGTTAATGCCTTGCTTTGTATATTCCCATGATGAAATTCATTCTTCTTTTGCTTTGTGCCTTGAGGTCTCCTGTAATTAAAGGTGTAATGTCTACAGATTGCTTTGAAATGAAGAGTTATCCAAAGAGAAGGTATTACCATATTACAGAGCCACCTGCTTAAAGCTTGCCAAAACAATATGGACAAGAGTGAGGGCCCTAATAGTGCATGCCAACATGATCTCATCTTGAAGTATGAGAACATAAGAATCAGCACATACTTCTAAATACTTCCTTCAAATAAATAGAGCCTAATTGTTTAGCTAATTTATTTTATTTTATTTCTTCACTATAATTTTTCCTACTCTATTTTTACTATTGCGGACTTTTCAAAATCCCTTAAAATTGATGGCCATATATTAGCATGTAATTTAAAAAGCTTCAGTTTCTTTTCCCATGTATTGGTGATGTTAACAAAAGAATCAGGAGTTAAATAGATATATCCCTGGGAAATGCAATTTTAGAGACATTATTGTCTATATTTCATTAATTATTTAAAAGTAGGGTTTTGAGGCAGAAACAATTTTTCTATTATATCTGTAACCATAAAAGATTAAATATGCATTCATTTTTTTTCAACCTTTATTTTAAGTTCCAGAGGATATATTCATTTTTAGTTAAGTGGAAGTAATGCTTGAACCATGAATAAAGATACAGATTCATTTGAGTAGGCTTTGTTGGTCTGATTCATTAATAGTTTTTTAAACGTTAACATTCTTACCAAGCAATTTTTATTTCTTAAAAAAATCCTGAGTTTAATAACAGGTTAGAGTAGTTCTGTTACCAAAATGACTTCGAAATTCCACATAATTAGAATCAGATAAAATGTATGTTCTGCAACCAATTTCAAGGGTGCTATTTAAAAAACACCATGACAACACCAGGATTTAATTTCTGACCTATTTCTCAGATCTTTTTATTTAATCCACAATCCAGCATTTAAAAAAAAAGAATCCCACAAGGAAGCAATGGACTTCAGGTAAATAATTTTTTTTCTTCAGAAGTGACTGGGATCAAGAGAGACTAAGAGATCCTTTGTTTCTTTTTTTTCTTTTTTTTTTTTTGAGACGGAGTCTCGCTCTGTCACCCAGGCTGGAGTGCAGTGGCGTGATCTCGACTCACTGCAAGCTCCGCCTCCCGGGTTCACACCATTCTCCTGCCTCAGCCTCCCGTGTAGCTGGGACTACAGGCGCACGCCACCATGCCCGGCTAAGTTTTGTATTTTTAGTAGAGACGGGGTTTCACCGTGTTAGCCAGGATGGTCTCGATCTCCTGACCTCGTGATCCGCCTGTCTCGGCCTCCCAAAGATCCTTTGTTTCTTGTCAGGAAACCTGGATTTCCATTCAATTCCCACAGAAACATATTGTGCAATCTAGAAATATTCTATGTCCTTAGCATAAATGAATGGAATTGACTATATAAACTTTTATGAAAGTAAGTTCTAAAACCCTATTCTAGAACTCAAAAGGTTAATACCGAGTCTATAAACAAATGGGTTGAAAGGTCACCTTTGAAGTTTAGAAGCTGAATCTCAAATTCTAGGCCTGTTCATGAAACCACAGGTTTACTGGAGCAGATAAAATAAGGAAAACCTTGTAAAAATTTCTCAGAAGTTAAACCCATCAGAAATGTGCATAGTTTTTGCATTTTCCACATCTAAGCTTCTGGTCAATTAGAAAGACTATGGTCAAAAGGTGCACACTGCTTAGATGCTGGCATTGATTTAATTAAAGGGAAAATGGAAGAAATGAATTCTAAGAATGGGGCAAATCTTAATGTCTTAATTTGTTTTGTGCTGTGAGTCTGGGCAATTTATAAAGAACAGAGATTTATTTCTTACCATCCTGGAGTAATACACAGCAATTTAGGCTTTTTCTAGCCTGCTCCTCTAAATTCTTCCATACTCTACCCCTTACCCAGTTCCAGAGTGGCTTCCATTTTTAGGTATTTGTTATAACAATGGTACTACTCCTTCATACCAATTTTCTATCATAGTCCATTTTGTGCTGCTATAGCAGGATACCTGAGACTGGGTAATTTATAAAGAACAGGGATTTATTTCTTACAGTTCTGGAGGCTGAGAAGTCCAACATTAAGGTGCTGGTATCTGGTGACGGCTTTTCTGTTGCATCATCCTATGGCAGAAGGTGGAAGGGTAAGAAAGCATGAGAAGGCAAGACAGAGTTGAAATCACCTTTATCAGGAACCTGTTCCCATGATAATTAACCCATTCCTGTGATAACAGCATTAATCCAGGGCACAGCCCTCACGATCTAATTACCTCCTAGAGATCCCAACTCTCAATACTGTTGCAGTGAGAATTAAATTTCCAATACCTGAACTTTGGGGGACACATTCAAACCACAGCAGTTAAGTAACTCTCATTTTCCCCTTATTCCCATACCCATATTCAAGCTACATGAAATTTTTTTCCAATTAGAAGTACATAGTTGTAGCTACTTCAGTTTAGTAAATGTCACTGAATAGCATTTCATGAGACAAATTCAGTAGATAAACCTAAAGGTCCTTGCTGACATTTTTCTCCTGTCAGTCTTAATAGTTTCTTAATCTCACTTTAATTATCTTAGTTTAAAAGCCAGATTCTAAATGGGTTACATAGAATGACCAGTGGACAAAAACTAAAGGAGTCATTTTAGGCTGGAGGCTTTTTTTTTTTTTTTTGAAACAGTCTTGCTCTGTCGCCCAGGCTGGAGTGCAGTGGCACAATCTCGGCTCACTGCAACCTCCGCCTCCTGGGTTCAAGCGATTCTCTTGTCTCAGCCTCCCGAATACCTGGGATTACAGGCACGCACCACCGCGCCCAGCTAACTTGTGTAATTTTAGTAGAGATGGAGTTTTGCCATGTTGGCTGGAGGGTTTTAAATGAGCATTTGCTCCTATTAGAGGTTGCCTTGGTAGTCATTGCCAGATCTGGTGCCTTGTACAGTGCCTGGTACATGGGAGAGAATTATTAAATGTTGGATTAATGAACAGACATACCTCAACCAGGCTTTATTGGGTTAGCCTATCTCAAGAGAGGGGTTGCTTGTGTGTAAGACAAAAAGGGGTTATGGGAAGAGTTTATTTTACCTGTTATTGTATCTCTATCGCCAAACTTTCTACCAGCTCTCATGAAAATGTTGCTCTCTGTACCTTCCCTGACCATTTATTTCCAGAAATGCCACATCATAAATATTACACAGGAAATAAAGCATCTAAAATTATAAACCCTCTGACCAGAATGTCTTTCATCTGACCCACAGCTTGTGCTAAATAATCAAACCCCAAACCCCATGGAATTTTAAAATGTGGGGTTTCTGGTGCTGAATATTTTGTGATTTGTCTTCTCTTGAGTCTTAAAAATTTCTATGTGCTGGTACAAGTAAATATAGAGGTAAAAAATAAATAGGCTTTTATTGGACAAGCGACTTTGAGTGCAGACTATAACGTGTTTGAGGAGAGATTTATAATAAAATTTAGTTGGTCCAACAAAGCCTAAATGTTTATGTAGCTCATTCAAACTTGTCTGTGTCCTCAAATTGACACTGTTTTACTTCATGCCATATCAGATAAAGTTTAAGGTGTTTATCTGTAGGAGAAAGAGCTTCTTGTCAAACATGAAAATAAGAGAGAAAGAGGTGGAGTTTCCTCACTGAAATTAGTCAGTAACTCGCCGTGTCCATTACGAACCCTCACATTCAATAAAGTGGAGAATGCCAGGATACTGCAGCAAATGGAGTTTTGCTGAAGATCAAAGCAACGTAAGCTGCTATAACACACTTTATGTTCTGTCTTTTCATTTCCTGTAGGTGGTGAGCTCCTGAATTGTGGTAATTACCAGTCCTTGATTGAAGGCAATTCATTTCATTCCTGACACTGAAAATATCAAAAAGCAAGCTGCCTCTCGATGGCCCTAACTTTATAGCTCATTTGTAATTGTTCTAATCAGTTGTAAGGAGCAGGTAAGAATGAGAATATGTTTTGTTTAAGACAGTCTGAAGTTCCTTGCTGGAGCTTATTTCTAAATACCCTCGGTAGTTTGTTTTATATTCATAAACTAATTTGATCACTTCAAATTCTTACCAATTTTTAATTAGTCTGTTAATTTAAAAAACCTTATCCAATTATATTCTTACAAAAAATTGTATCTTATAATTCTATGATCTAATTAAATTGCAAAATTAAAATTGTGCACAAACACTTTTTAGGTTGAAAAGTTTAAAAAGAACAAAAAGCAGGTATAAAAATACACTTTAGTTTTCATTTTCAGATAGAGTAATTATATATATCATATATAAAATTTATATATATGAAAGAATATATATTTTTCATATATTTATATATAAAAGAAATCATATATATATATAATTTTTACCTTAGCTATCTCCAAAGATAAAATTCTTAAGATTGATAGGGAGCTGAGAAGAAATTTTAAATAGTGGATATAACTTGTAATCATTTAAGATTTAATTAAGTCACATTTCCAGCAGATGTTCTAATAAATACAATAGTAGTAATTAGTATTATTATAAGGATAGTGCCTGAAATAAAGGGTGTAAACATTACATAAAGCTTGGATAGAGAGCTTTAGGCTCAGAATAAAAAAACTTCAGACTGGAAACATACCTGAAAGAATCTTGGTCAATTCCTGAGTTTTACAGTTAAAATTCAGTTTCAGAAAAATAAACCGTCTCAAGTTAAATTGTCACTTAGTGGCTTAGTAGAGGCAATAATTTGTGTCTTCTACTTCTAATTCATTTACTCTGGTTTTTTTTTTTTTTAGATATACTAACTGACAAACATTACTGTATGTATTCAACTATACCTATAATTATTAATTTAAATAGTCTGAAGTTAAACTTTTACATACAGAATAATACTTGAACATATTTTATACAGTGCTATACATTTTGTAGATCACATTGAATTTTTTATTGCTTACTCTATATTTATTTCTTTTGTACCAGCATAATTATGGCAGTAGAGGAAAGTTAAAAAGAAAGGGCAAATACACACAATTTTCACTATCATGTATGATTTTTGGTTTTTACTTCTAGAATTTATCCATGCTTACATATTTTCTGAAGTTGTAATGATGAGGAAATGCAATCTTTGTTCTGTTTTATTTAAGTAACATTATATTATGACATTGTCATGTTCATAATTACTACTTTAGCAACTAATATTTCATTGACTTAATTTGATAATTATCCAGTCATTTCCCTCTTGTGAGTGATTAGGTCATTTCTAATATTACTATAAAAAATACTGTTGTGAATTTCTTTGTGTACATTGCTTTTCTATATTGTTTGTCTTTTTTTTTGTGCAGATAAATCATATTATGCTTATGTGCATAAATTATGTCACATAGGCTCGTGTGATTAAACAGCACAGTCCCTCGTTTACCTGAAGTGGAACGTGAAAACAGCAGAGAAGCTACAGGCAGAACTTGCCTTATGCGCAGAAGGGTACCCAGAAGTCTGCAAAGATAATTTATAGGACAACTCCCCAAATCACCCCACGTAGTCTTTCCTAAAATTTCCAACAATGCAATTTCTTAGTACTTTTTTAAGAGGTAGGTATTTAATAAAGTTAAGGCATTTCTAGACTAAACAAAGGTAAAGCATTAGCTAACACATACGCAGGGTCTAGTTTATATGATTAATTCCCATTACCAATCATAAATTCTTAGGCAGCATAGACTCAGTTCTTCAAATAAGTATTAAAAAGAACAATATTGAGAGCATGACACTATGATGTCTCTTGAGTGAAAGAAAATAAGAGAATTGAACTTCAATCTCTCATACATTATAAACATGTTTCTTACACAAAACACATACCAGTCAATGAAAAGGTCGTGGTTTTTCACAAGTTCTTTAGGACTCGGGCCCAGAATTCACAAGATTGTTGTGATTTAGTCACTCATTATTGTTCAGCATTTATTTTCCTGGCATATACAGCTATACAGCTACCACGTATTGCAAAGCTACAATGTCTCAGCCACTTTTTTTCATGATCTCATTTCATCCTTATAATAACTCTATATAGTATCCATTATTTCTCTCATTTTACATATGTGGACATCAAGGCCAAGAATGTTGAAGTATTTTGCATAAAATCACAAGTTCTGAGCTATGAAGTGGCATAGCCAAAATTCACCTTTCTCTGAATGATTATTCTGTAAGTACTCCTTAGTGAGCAGGGATTTCTACCATAATATGTCAACAGCTTTTTGGGGCTATCTGAATTCTCTTGTGATTTTTCTATTCATAAAACTTGAAAAACCTCTTAGTTAATTCTTTTTCCCAGAATGTCAGTCGTGCTGGACATTTACTCTGCTGTTAAAATGTAACTAGAGAAATACAAGTGGGAACCACATTTGTGACCCAAAATGAACTTTTCAAAATTTTTTTGAAATCTTATAATATTTTGCACTCAATCTTCATGACTAAAGTGTACTAAAGTCACAACAGATATTCCAAATCAGCAGTTGTGTTGCCAATGGAATGTCAACAATATTAATTCAGATTTAACAACCACTCGGATTCATCTCTTTAGATTCAAGTCCCATAAAAACACAGGATGAAGTCTCATGACTTTTATTAAAATGTCTCTAAATATAAGCCCTAAAAAGCAATTAACTCTGATATGGTGTTTGGATCTGAAAAATTTTGGAGAAGAAAAAGAATGTAAGAATGTACCTGCACCATAAGCATAGCAACTTCAGATTTAACTAATTTTTTTGTTAAATTTTGTTCAGTAACTAAGCTGATCTCTCAGAAAATCATTTAAAATTACTCACAAGACTGTAATTATGTAGTGTTGGAATGATCTTGGTACAGAATCGAAAAAAAAATCCTTTCTTTCACTGCTTCAAAAACTTCACCCAAAAAAAGGATTGAATGAATTCTAAGTTTTTAAAGTTTAAGAATTCTACCACAAATTTAACTTCAAGGAGAAAATACTTTAAGTTATAATTAATGTATTATTGGTAAATGTTTAGGATAAAAAGTCTCATACTAGAAATCCACACACACACACACACAAACAGTTTTGAATCCATAATAGGTAGAAAGATAGTGTGTGATATGGTTCGGCTCTTTGTCCCCACCCAAATCTCATTTTGAATTGTACTCCCATAATTCCCAAGTGTTGTAGGAGGAACCCAGTGGAAGATAATTTGAATCATGGGGCGGTTTCCCTCATACTGTTCTCATGGTAGTGAATAAGTCTCATGAGATCTGATTGTTTTGTCAGGGGTTTCTCCTTTTGCATATTCCTCATTTTCTCTTGCTACCACCATATAAGAAGTACCTTTCACCTGCCACCAAGATTCTGAGTTATCCCCAGCCACGTCAAACTGTAAGTCCAATTAAACCTCTTTTTCTTCCCAATCTTGGGTATGTCTTTATCAGCAGCATGAAAATGGACTAATACAGTAAATTGGTATCAGTAGAGTGGGATATTGCTGAAAAGATACCCAAACATGTGGAAGTGACTTTGGAACTGGGTAACAGGCAGAGGCTGGAACAGTTTGGAGGGCTCAGAAGAAGAGAGGAAAATGTGGGAAAGTTTGGAACTTCCCTGTGACTTGTTGAATGGCTTTGACCTAAAGCCTGATAGTGATATGAATAATAAGGTCCTGGCTGAGGTGGTCTCAGTTGAAGATGAAGAATTTATTGGGAACTGGAGCAAAGGTGACTCTTACTATGTTTTAGCCAAGAGATGGGCAGCATTTTGCCCCTGTCCTAGAGATTTGTGGAACTTTGAACTTGAGAGAGATAATTTAGGGTATCTGGCAGAATAAGTTTCTAAGCAACAAACCATTAAAGATGTGACTTGGGGCCAGTCACGGTGACTCATGCCTGTAATCCCAGCACTTTGGGAGGCTGAGGTGGGTGGATCACTTGAGTCAGGAGTTTGGGACCAGCCTGGCCAACATAGTGAAACCCATCTCTACTAAAAATACAAAAATTAGCTGGGCGTGGTGGCATATACCTGTAGTCCCACCTACTCAGGAGGCTGAGGCAGAAGAATTGCTTGTATCAGGAGGTGGAGGTTACAATGAGCTGAGATCACACAGCTGCACTCTAGCCTGGACGACAAAGACTTCGTCTGAAAAAAAAAAAAAAAAGTGACTTGGGTGCTGTTAAAAGCATTCCATTTTAAAAGGGAAACAAAACATAAAAGTTCAGAAAATTTGCAGCCTGATGATGCAGTAGAAAAGAAAAACCCATTTTTTGAGGAGAAATTCAAGTTGGCTGCAGAAATTTGCATAAGTAACAAGGAGCCCAATGTTAATCCCCAAGACAATGGGAAAAATGTCTCCAGAGCATGTCATAGGACTTCATGGCAGCCCCTCCCTTCACAGACCCAGAAGGCTAGGAGGAAAAAATGGTTTTGTGGGCCAGTCCTAGGGTCCCCATGCTGTGTGTGCAGCCTAGGGACTTGGTGCCCTATATCCCAGCTGCTCCAGCCACTGCTAAAAGGGGCCAAGGTACAGCTTGGCTTATGGCTTCAGAGGGTGCAAGCCCCAAATCTTGGCAGCCTCCACGTGGTGTTGAGCTGGCAGGTGCACAGAAGTCAAGAATTGAGGTTTGGGAACCTCCACCTAGATTTCAGAAGATGTATGGAAATGCCTGGATGCCCAGGCAAAAGTTTGCTGCAGGGTGGGGCCCTCATGGAGAACCTCTGCTAGGGCAGTGTGGTAGAGAAATGTGGGTTTGGAGCCCCCACACAGAGCTCCTACTAAGGCACTGCCTAGTGGAGCTGTGAGAAGATGGCCATTGTCCTCCAGACCCCAGAATGGTATATTTACCGACGGCTTGCACCATGCACCTGGGAAAGCTACAGACACTCAACACCAGCCTGTGAAAGCAGCCAGGAGGGAGGTATGCCCTGCAAAGACACAGGGGTGGAGTTGCCCAAGACTTTGGGAACCTACCTTTTGCATCAGTGTGACCTGGATGTGAGACATGGAATCAAAGGAGATCATTTTGGAGCTTTAAATTTTGACTGCCCCACTGGATTTCAGACTTGCATAGTCCCTGTAACCACTTTGTTTTGCCCAATTTTTCCCATTTGGAATGGCTGTATTTACCCAATACCTGTATTCTCATTGTGTCTAGGAAGTAACTAGCTTGCTTTTGATTTTACAGGCTCATAGGCAGAAGGGACTGGACTTGTCTCAGATGAGACTTTGGACTGTGGAGTTTTGGGCTAATGCTGAAATGAGTTAAGACTTTGGGAGACTGTTGGGAATGCATAATTGGTTTTGAAATGAGAGGAAATGAGATTTGGAGGGGTCATGGGTGGAATGATATGGTTTTGCTCTGTGTACTCACCCAAATCTCATCTTGAATTGTACTCCCATAATTCCCATGCATTGTGGGAGTGACTCAATGGGAGATAATTTGAATTATGGGGGTAGTTTCCCTCATATTGTTCTCATGGTACTGAATAAGTCTCACAAGATCTGATGGTTTTATCAAGGGTTTCTGCTTTTGCATCTTCCTCACTTTCTCTTGCCACCACCACGTAAGAAGTGCCTTTTGGCCGGGCACAGTGGCTCACGCCTGTAATCCCAGCACTTTGGGAGGCTGAGGCAGATGGATCACGAGGTCAGGAGATCGAGACCATCCTGGCTAACATGCTGAAACCCCGTCTCTACTAAAATCACAAAAAAATTAGACGGGCGTGGTGGCGGGTGCCTGTAGTCCCAGCTACTCGGGAGACCAAGGCAGGAGAATGGTGTGAACCCGGGAGGCAGAGCTTGCAGTAAGCCGAGATCGCACCACTGCACTCCAGCCTGGGTGACAGAGCGAGACTCTGTGAAAACAAAAACAAAAACAAAACAAAAACAAAAAGAAGTGCCTTTCACCTCCCTCCATGATTCTGAGGCCTCCCCAGTCATATGAAACTATAAGTCCAATTTAACCTCTTTTTCTTCCCAGTGTTGGGTATTGTCTTTATCAGCAGCATGAAAATGGACTAATACAGTGGCCATAAATAGATATTGAACTTTTAACTGTGAAGATGAAATTTTGCTACATATTCAGCCTAACTTTACATAGTTAGCTAAGCTCTATATCATTGCATAATTACGAATATAGTTATATGACGAGTTAAGTCCTACGAAAAGGAAAGAACATGATTCCATGTAGGTGCACACAGTTCTCAAAATTTGCTTGTAAATGGTTTGGCTTTTAAAATATATTTTCTGATAGAAAATATTTTAAATTATAGCCTCTCCCCACCTGAAACCTATTGAATGTGTAATTAAGTTGAATTGTGCTTATTATGCTTGAGACAGAACTCTGAGTTCAGGAAGGAGGGAGGCAGAGAACAAATATTTACTTCTTTCTGGCTACAGGGTTGGCTGTGAATAAAATTTGGCATAGGCAATATACATGGGAATTTTTTTACTTCTTTATATTTATTCCTCTCTCACTTGAATATTGCTGTTATTTGGGTATACTATGTTCATTTCCTAATTTAAACTAGGCTTATTAGCACACTTCCCAGCACCAGCCTACCCCTCAAACTACTCTGTGCCTCAAAATTATCTCCTCCATTTTTGTTCCTACTACAGTGCCTTGCACATAGAAGGCACACAATAATTATTCATTAAAAGAATGAATGAAATAAGAAACATAGAAAGTGTTAGAGAAGGCACCAACCTAACAGAAAGAAAAGATGTGGTTTTAACTATCCTTTGCCTGTTTACTTCCTCTACATTTACATTCTCAGCTATTCAAGTTTTATACTGTTGTTGTTCTGTACAATGATTTCTTGAAGGCAAAAGCTTGAGCTCCAACAAGGTTAGGGGGCATCAGTGCAGATGTTTTATGGACATTTTTAGAATTGGTATTGATAGAAGTCTCATTTTAAAATGAAGTAAAAACTGAGGCTGTATAGCCTGATTCATAATGCTCAAAAGACCATTACGAATCATTATGAAACAAAGCAAACACATAGTTGTCATATAATATAGCAGTTCTAGGCTTGCTTTATGTGTTTCAAACAGTGATGGTTCCTTAAGAAGTCACATCTCTGTGCTATCTAACACATAAACAGGCACGATAAAACAGTACAGCTACTGTGCTGTAATGTAGTCCATGGCCAACACTGCTCAGTGCTGAGTGTGGCACCCGTGGTAATTCGTGAGCGAGGTGCCTCCTTAGGCCTTTCCTGTGTTGCATACCTATCTCATTGCTAAACTGCATCTGGTTAGAAAGCCCATCCACATGCTCTTGTATGGTCAAAAAGGAGAGACTTCTTCTATACAGAACTCACTCAATGCCCGGCATGGGCACATGGCAGGCTGACAGCCAAAATGTGCCCACTAAGCCCCTAACAAATGAATCATGAATCTGGGTGACTGGAGAGACAAATGTTTACCATGGAATGGTAACAAAAAAGTCTGGGCTTTTTGCCATTTAGGAAAAAAAAAAAAAAAAGAAGTATGTGAACCTTCTTATCCTTTCCCAGATAGAGCTCTGAGAAGGTGTAGTACAATCAACTCAGTCTTTGGAGGGGCATATTGACAACAAAATGATACTTTGTATAATTTCACAATTTTATTGTGTGTGTGTGTGTGTGTGTGTGTGTGTGTGTGTGGTGATTTTCTCTCTTGTGGTGACTGATTTGCTTTACCATAAAACGAAGTAGGATGATACTATTATAATTTATCCTTTCCTATCACATCGTGTTTTAGTTTAAGATTATAGAGCAAATAGACTGTGTTATTACTCATTGAACACCAAGAATAAAGAAAGAATAATAAAAGATTTTTGAGCATGGTTCTTTTCTCTGCTCACTATCAATTCTAGCTCTGCCACTATCTGGCTGTGGGATGTTTGGCAAGTTACTTTACATCTTCTTCTATAATGTGGTCATTGAGACTAGACAATATGTGTACATGTATTAAGTGCCTGGAACAGATTAATAATAAATGCCAGTTGAAAATTATTTATTTGCAGAGGATGATGGTGGATAGGAGGCAGGACTAGCTTGCAGTTCCTGCCCAGATGCACAGAGCAGCGCGTGGAGACTCACATAGTGAACTTTTGCTCCAAGAACTATCACAGGAACATAGCAGGAAAGCCGAGAGAATCCACAGACCCTTTGAAGGAACGGAATCACTGCTGCAGGCTCTCCAAGATGCCAAAAAAACTGTGAGTTGAATTGCTTTCTCAGGAGGGAGGCTGGTGGTCTGGGACATGTTCTCTGCCTGTCACCAGCTGCCTGGAAATATTCTCAGTGCTGCTGAGGGGATATGGTGGGAGTGAGACCAGCCTTTAGGACTGCAGGCTGTGTGGGAGCAGGGTGAGGCCTGTGACTGCCGGCTTTCCCCTATTTCCCTGGTGACCTATATGATGCAGCAGAGGCAGCTATAATCCCCCTGGGAATATAATTTCATTAGACTGAGAACCACACCCCCATCCCATACAGTAGTCACAACAAGCCCCACACAAGGAGAGGCTGGGCTGAGACACACCTATCCCTGCCCCAACCTGGTAGTCTTTCTGTATTCACCATGGTAGCTGCAGACAATAGTCATAATGTTTTGGGAGCTCTATGGCCCTGCCTACCTTCTGAGAAACCCCAATACTTAACCAGGTATCCCTAGGGCAAATTTGCATATTCCCTATAGGACCACAACTGATGCGCTCTTGAAATCATCCCCTCCTGGCTGGAGGTGCACTTCCAACCAACACAAAACCAGTGCACTAAACAAAAACACAACCAAAAACCCTCATAGAGTCAATTTCACTCCCCTGCTACCTCCACCAGGGCAGGTGCTGGTGTCCATAGCTGCAAGACCTAAAGACGGACCATATCACGGTACTTTTTGCAGACACTCCTTAGTATCAGCCTGGAGCCCAGTAGCTCTGCTGGGTGGCTAGACACAGAGGAGCAAAAACAATCACTACAGTTTGGTCTCAGGGAGCCTCATTCTTAGGGGAAGGGGGAGAACACCACATCAAGGGAACACCCTTGAGACGAAAGAATCTGAAAAGCAGCCCCTGAGTCTCAGATTTTCCCTCTGACATAGTCTACCCAAATGAGGGGGAACCAGAAAAACAATTCTGATAATATGATAAAACAAACTTCTTTAGGACTCACAAAAGATCATACCAGCTACGAGCAATGGATCCAAACCCAAACAAAATCTCTGAATTGCCAGAAAAAGAATTCAGAAGGCTGATTATTAAGCTAATCAAGGAGTCACCAGAGAAAGGTGAAGTCCAACTTAGATAAATCAAAAACATGATACAGGATATGAAAGGAAAACTCTTCAGTGAAATAGAAAGAATAGATAAAGAACAATCACAGCTTCTGGAAATCAAGGACACACTTAGAGAAATTCAAAATGCACTAGAAAGTCTCAGCAGAAGAATCAAACAAGCAGAAGAAAGAAGTTCAGAGCATCAAGACAAGGCTTTCAAATTAACCCAATTTATTAAAAAAGAAAAAAGAAAAAATAAATTTTAAAAATGAACAAAGCCTCCAAGAAGTTGGGCACCATCTTAAACATCCAAACCTAAGAAGAATTGGTATTCCCAAGAAAGAAGAGAAATCTAAAAGTTTGGAAAACATATTTGGGAGAATATTCTAGACATTCAAATGCAAGAAGCTCAAAGAACACCTGGAAAATTCATTGCAAAAAGATCATTGCCTAGGCAAATAGTCATCAGGTTATCTGAAGTCTAGATGAAAGGAAGAATCTTTAGAGCTGTGAGGCAAAAGCATCAGGTGACCTATAAAGAAAAACCTATCAGATTAACAACAGATTTCTCAGCAGAAACCCTACAAGCTAGAAGGGATTGGGGTCCTATTTTTTAGCCTCCTTAAACAAAACAATTATTAGTCAAGAATTTTGTATCCAGCAAAACTAAGCTTCATAAATGAAGGAAAGATACAGTCTTTTCCAGACAAACAAATGGTGTGAGAGTTTGCCACTACCAAGCCAGCACTACAAGAACTGCTAAAAGGAGCTCTAAATCTTGAAACAAATCCTCAAAATACACCAAAATAGAACCTCCATAAAGAGTAAATTTTATAGGATCCATAAAACAATAACACAAAGAAAAACCAACAACAAGGTATTCAGACAACAAATAGCAAAATGAATGAAATAATACCTCATATCTCAATACTAACATTGAATGTAAATGGCCTAAATGCTCCATTTAAAAGATACAGAATGGCAGAATGGATACACATTCACCAACCAAGTTTCTGCTGTCTTCAGGAGACTCACCTAACACATAAGGACTCACATAAATTAAGGTAAAGGGGTAGAAAAAGATATTTCATGCAAATGGACACCAAAAGTGAGCAGAAGTAGCTATTCTTATATCACAAAAAGCAAACTTTAAAGCAACAGCAGTTTAAAAAGACAAAAATGGACATTATATAATGATAAAAGAACTAGTCCAACAGGAAAATACCACAATTCTAAATATATATGCACCTAACACTAGAGCTCCCAAATTTATAAAACAATTACTTCTAGACCTAAGAAATGAGACAGACAGCAACACAATAATCATGGGGAATTTTAATACTCCACTGACAGCACTAGACAGGTCATCAAGACAGAAAGTCAAGAAAGAAACAATGGACTTAAGCTATACCCTAGAACAAATGAACTTAACAGATATTTATAGAACATTCTACCCAACAACTGCAGAATATACATTCTATTCATCAGCACATGGAACATTCTCCAAGATAGACCACATGATAGGCCACAAAACAAGTCTCAGTAAATTTAAGAAAATCGAAATTATATCAAGTACTCTCTCAGAACACAAAGGAATAAAATTGGAAATCACTTCCAAAGGGAACCCTCAAAACCATGCAAATATATGGAAATTAAATAACCTGCCCCTGAATGCTCACTGGGCAAACAGTGAAATCAAGATGGAAATTAAAAAATTCTTCGAACTGAATGATAATTGTGATACAACCTACCAAAATGTCTGGGATACAGCAATAGCAGTGATAAGAGGAAAGTCCATAGCATTAAATGCCTATATCAAAAAGCCTGAAAAAGCACAAATAGACAATATAAGGTCACATCTCACAGAACTGGAGAAAAAAGAACAATCCAAACCCAAACCCAAACCCAGCAGAACAAAAGAAATAACCAAAATCAGAGCAGAACTAAATGATATTCAAACAAAAAAGTACAAAAGAAAAATGAAACAAAAAGCTGGTTTTTTTGCAAAGGTAAATAAAATAGATCATTTGCAAGATTAACCAAGTAAAGAAGTAAGAAGATCCAAGTAAGCCCAATTAAAAATGAAATGGGAGATATTACAACGGATACCACAGAAATACAAAAGATTATTCAAGGCTGCTATGAACACCTTTATCCACATAAACTAGAAAACCTAGAGAGATGGATACATTCTTGGAAATATACAACCTTTCTAGATTAAACCAGGAAGATATAGAATCTCTGAACAGACTAATAACAAGCAGCAAGATTGAAATAAAATTTTTAAAAATTGCCAACAAAAAAAGTCCAGTACCAGATGGCTTCACAGCTGAATTCTATCACACATTCAAAGAAGAATTGATATCAATCTTATTGACACTATTACAAAAGATAGAGGAAAAGAGAATCTCCCTAAATCATTCTGTGAAGCCAGCATCACCCTAATAGCAAACCTAGGGAAGGACATAACAAAAATAAAATCACAGACCAGTATCCCTGATGAACATAGATGCAAAAGTCCTCAACAAAATCATAGAGAACCGAATCCAACAGCATATCAAAAAGATAATCCACCATGATCAAGTGGGTTATATACCAGGGATGCAGGGATGGTTTAACATACGTAAGTCAATAAATGTGATACACCACTTAAACAGAATTAAAAACAAAAATCACATGATCATCTCAATAGACACAGAAAAAATTCAGCATCCCTTTATGATTAAAACCCTCAGCAAAATCAGCATAGAAGAGACATACCTTAAGGTAATAAAAGCTGTCTACAACAAATCCACAGCCAACATTATACTGAATGGGGAAAAGTTGAAAGCATTCCCCCTAAGAAGTAGAACAAGACAAGGATGCCCACTTTTACCACTTCTATTCAACGTAGTATGGGAAGTCCTAGCCAGAGCAATCAGACGAGAGAAAGAAATAAATGGCATCCAAATCAGCAAAGAGGAAGTCAAACTGTCATTGTTTGTTGATTGTAAAATTGTATACCTAGAAAACCCTAAAGACTCATCCAAAAGCTCCTAGAACTGGTAAATGAAAAAGTTTCAGGATACAAAATTAATGTACACAAATTAGTCTCTCTGTTCTACACCAACAGCAAACAAGTTGAGGATTAAATCAAGAACTCAACCCCTTTCACAATAACTGAATTAAAAAAAAAAACACTTAGGAATATACCTAACCAAGGAGGTGAAAGACTTCTACAAGGAAAACTACAAAACACTGCTGAAAAAAATCATAGAAGACACAAACAAATAGAAACACATCCCAAGCTCATGGATGGGTAGAATCAATATTGTGAAAATGACCATAGTGCCAAAAGTAATCTACAAATTCAATGTAATTCCCATCAAAATACCATCAACATTCTTCACAGAACTAGAAAAAAATCTTAAAATTCATATGGAACCAAAAAAGAGCCCACATAGCCAAAGCAAGACTAAGCAAAAAGAACAAGTCTGGAGGCATCATATTACCTGACTTCAAACAATATTATAAGGCCATAGTCACCAAAACAGCATGGTAAAGGTATAAAAATAAGCACATAGTACAATGAAACAGAATAAAGAACCCAGAAATAAAGCCAAACACTTACAGCCAACTTGTCTTTGACAAAGCAAACAAACCATAAAGTGGAGAAAGGACAATCTATTCAACAAATGGTGCTGGGATAATTGGGGAGCTACATGTAGAAGAATGAAACTCGTTCCTCATCTCTCACCTTACACAAAAATCAACTCAAGATGAATCAAAGGCTTAAATCCAAGATCTGAAACCTAAAGATTCTAGAAGACAATGTCAGAAAAACTATTCTAGATATTGGCTTTGGCAGAGACTTCATGACCAAGACTTCATGACCCAGAACAAAAAAGCAAACACAACAAAAACAAATATAAATAGACGGGACTTAATTAAATTAAAAAGCTTCTGCACAACAAGAGAAATAATCAGCAGAGTTAACAGACTACCCACAGAGTGGGAGAAAATCTTCACAATGTATACATTCAACAAAGGACTAATATCCAGAATCTACAAATAACTCAAATCAGGAAGAGAAAAAACAAACTGTCCTATCAAAAAGTGGGCTAAGGACATGAATAGACAATTCTCAAAAGAAGATATACAAATGGCCAACAAGTATGGGGAAAAATGCTCAACATCACTAACTATAAGGGAAATGAAAATTAAAACCACAATGTTGTACCACCTCACTCCTGCAAGAATGGCCATAATCAAAAAGTAATAGATGTTGGTGTGGACATGATGAAAAGGTAACACTTTTACACTGTTGGTGGGAATGTCAACTAGTACAACCACTATGGAAAACAGTGTGGAGGATCCTCAAAGAACTAAAAGTAGATGTACCGTTTGATCCAGCATTCCCACTACTAGCTATCTACCCAGAGGAAAATAAGTCATTATACATAAAAGATACTTGCACATGCATATTTATAGCAGCAGAGTTTGCAATTGCAAAAATATATAACCAGCCCAAATGCCCATCAAATCGACCAGTGGATAAAGGAAATGTGGTATATACACTATGAAGTACTACTCATTCATAAAAAGGAATGAAATAATGGCATTCAAAGAAAACTGGATGGAATTGGAGACTATTATTCTAAGTGAAGTAACTCAGGAATAGAAAACCAACATCGTATGAAGAACGTGAATGGAGAACATTGTATGTTCTTACTCAGATGTGGGAGCTGAACTATGAGGAGGCATAAACTATAAAGGCATAAGAATGATACATTGGACTGTGGGGACTCGGGAAAAAAAGTGAGGGGTGGCAATGGATAAAAGACTACACATTGAGTACAATGTACACTGCTCAGGTGATGGGTTCACCAAAATCTCAGAAATCACCACTAAGGAACTTATTCATATAACCAATTACCACCTGCTCCCCAAAAACATATTGAAGTAAAGAAATGAAAATTTGAAGAAAAAGAAAATAATTTATTTGCTTATATTGTTTCTAAAATTAATATTAGGATAAAATTTATCAGTAGCATTATAGCTAGAGACCAAAATATCTACCAATAACATGTGGCTTGCTAGACTAGATTTTTTTTTAATCTAAAGAAAGCTATTTGGGAAATAATATTTTCAAATTAATTATTGTCAACCTTTTCTTGACTTAAGATTTTATTTATACTCTGTTTTATCTGCCCCTCTCACTGTACCTGGTAATAAAATAATATAACTTATTTTAGAAAATGTAAGTGGCAAATGAGAGCTCCAAAACAATGAAAATCTAATATAGTAATGTATTCTATTCTAGAGGAAAAATAATTAAAAAAGAAGCTTACAGCATATTTATGAATAGCTTAATATTGGTGTATATGCATATGTACAAACAGTATAGAATATAAATATTAAGCTATTCATATACATTCATATGCCTATACATATATACATGTATACATATATATGTATCAGCTGTCCATAGATACCTATGTGTGTGTAGGTATATTTGGGTATATAGATGTGTGTGTGAATTTTTACATATATGAACCCAGTTTTTGAGAAATAGAATGTATGAGGCAGTTGTACTCATCTTTCCTTTTGGCCAGAAGAATGCTTTTTCTTCAACTGTGGTTTCCTTCTCTTTGGTTTTTGGCACTCTGACCAACTGTGTGACAATCCTGTGTTGAGTATGCAGACTTTGATGGTTCTCTAATATCTTTATTCAAATAGTCAAGGAGAAGCTGAGAATAACAAACTATTTTTAATTATGCTGGAAACACACCACGAAGCTTCCTACTGTGTAGTGGAGTGGAAGTGATTTATTACATGAGAAAATGAATCATTGGTCAATGGAAAGTTGACAGCTAATAAAAATTTTGCAGTTGAGACTCATCACTTCATGACAAAGATATTTGAAAACAGTAGGAAAATTGAGGTGATTTGAACTACTTATTACATAAAGTTCTGACACTTTTTTATAAGGCTACTAAAAAATATGATTTTCCAACTTCAAGACTGAGTGATGAAGAAAAGACTGAGTGATGAAATTTTAGAAACTTACTTCCCAAGAGACTTATTTTGGATGCTCTAAAAATATCAGTAAGACTTATTCTAAAATTTCCTTGTAAGGTCCCTTTTCCTTAGAAATTTGCTTTGCAATCCAAACCCCAAGTTCAACTACAGTGTAAGTTGGAAAAGAGAGGTAGAAAAGGAAGGATGGAACTTTGCTCTATCAAAAATACCCTTTTGTAACCTGTGTGCTCTAATAACTATTTGATACTTTAGAGAAATTTGTTCTTATTTATACAATTAATTATGCTTTGAGGGAGGACATCAGCAAGATGCCAAAATAGAAAGCTCCATTACCTCCTTCCCCAGTGGAGACACTGATTCAATAACAATACACAGACAAATTATCTTTGTTAGAAATCCAGAGAGCAGTTAAGAGGTTCATGCATCCCAAGTGAGTGTGAAATCAACTGCATTGAAACCGGTACGGAAATTTGTGACACTCACTTGTCAGAGCAAGAGAACCTGACAAAACCTCTCTAATGGGAAATGTATATGCACAAGTTTAGAGAAGATATATTCACAGAAAAGGTTTGAGAAGCCCACAGAATCTCCAGTTGGGCTAATTAGTGAATGTCTTTCTCAGTATAAAGCTAGTTTATAAAGACTGGGAGAGGTAACTGTTTTTTCAAATGCATGGATCCCAACACAAAGTAACAAGGCACAGAAAGAAATAGTTAAAGTTGGTCAAACCAAAGGAACGAAATAAATCTCCAGAAACCAACACTAAAGAAACAGAGGTATGTGAATTATCTGACAAGGAATTTAAAATAAGCATCATAAAACTGCTCATTGAAATCAAGGAAAATGTAAGAATAAAATGCAAATATTAATAAAGAGATAGAAAATATGCAAAAGAACCAAATAGAAATTTTGTAGCTGAAGAATATAATTGAATTTTACAGTTCACTAAATGGGTTCAATATCATCTAGATCAAACAGAAGAAAGAATCAATGAACTCAAATACAGGTCATTTGAAAGTATTCAGTTAGAGAGGAATTTAAAAAAAAAAGGATGAAGAGAGAAGAAGCCTAATGAATTCATTAGAAAGAAGAAGCCTAATGAGTTTTTTTGGTCCACCACGTGGACCAAAATACACATTATGACAGTCCCAGAAATAGAAGAGGAAGAAAAAGAAAGAAAGGGGAAAAAAGCTTATTTAAAGAACTAACGACCAAAATCTTTCCACTATTTTGAAGGAAATGAACATCCAGATTCAAGAAGCCAAATGAATTCCAGATAAGATAAACCCAAGGAAGAAAACACTGAGACACATTATAATCAAATAGTCAAAATCCAAAAAAGAATTTTGAAGGCATCAAGAGAAAAGTGAATTGTCACATACAAGAGAGTCTACACAGAGAGAGAAGACTATCAGCTGATGTCTTAGCAGAAAATTTGCAGAAGGAAGCGGGTTAATATATTGAAAAATCTAAAAGAAAAAAAAAAAACTTGCCAGCCAAAAACACAATATCTAGCAAAACTATCCTTCAAAAATGAAGGTGAAATAAAGACTTTTCCAGACAAAGGAAAGCTAAAGAGTTTTATCACCACTAGATTTGACTTATAAGAAATGCTGAAGGGAATCTTTCAAGTTAAAGTGAAAGGACACTGAACAGCAACATGACAGCATATAAAAGTAGAAGACTTGCTGGTAAAGGTAACCATATAGATAAGTACAGAATATTGTAATACTATAATGGCAGTACATAAATCAATGCCAATTCTGGGATGGATGTTAAAAGACAAAAGTATTAAAATAACTATAAAATGTGTTAATGAATACACAAAATAAAAAGATGTAATTTGTGGCATCAACATAAATTCTGTGTGGGACAACAAAAGCGTAGAGTTTTTTCTACATAGTTGAAGTTAAGTCATCATTAGTTCAAAATATACTGTTATATATATTAGATGTTTTATGTAAGCCCTATGGTAAACAGAAATAAAACACCTATAGAAGATATACAAAAAAAAATGAGAAAGAAATCAAAGCATGTCATTACCAAAAAAAAAAAAATCAATGAAACACAAAAGAAGACAGAGAGGAAAAGACGTGCAAAAAATTATAAGAGAGAAGACAATTCGCACGATAATAATGGTAATAACTCCCCTATCAGTAGTTACTTTAAATGTAAAGAGATTGAACTCTCAAATCAAGAGAAACAGAGTGTCTATAATGAGATACCATTTCATACCAGTTAGAATGGCTATTATCAAGAAGTCCAAAAATAATACATGCTGGCAAGTTTGCAGAGAAAATGGAACACTCATAAACTGCTGGTAGAAATGTAAATTAATTCAGCCATTTTGGAAATCAGTTTCACAATTTCTCAAAGAACGCAAAGCAAAATTACCATTCAACCCAGCAATGCCATTATTGGGTATATACACAAAGGAATATAAATTATTCTACCACAAAGACATATGCATGTGTATATTTATTGCAGCCCTATTCATAATAGAAAAGACACAGAATCAACCTAAATGCCCATCAATGGTAGACTGGATAAAGAATGTGGTACATATACACCATGGAATACTACACAGCCATAAAAAAGGACAAGAGCATGCCCTTTGTGGCAATATAGATAAAGCTGGAGACCATTATCCTAAGCAAACTAACATGAGAACAGAAAACCAAATATGCATGTATTCAGATATAACTGAGAACTAAACATTGAGTACATATGGATACAAAGAAGGGAACAACAGACACCAGAATCTACCTGAAGGTGCAGGGGGGCAGGTGACTGAGGATTTAAAAACTATGTATCAGATACAATGCCTATTATTTGGGGTGTTGAAATAATCTGTACACCAAACTCCCATGACATGCAATTTACCTACGTAATGAACCTGCACATGTACCCCTGAACCTACAATAAAAGTTAAACAAAAACTAGAAAGAGTATCTAAATGGATACAAAACAGGATCCAACTATATGCTATCTTCAAGGGACACACTTTAGACCTAAAGCTTATAGGCTGAAAGTGAAAGGATGGAGAAACACAGTCCAGGCAAATAATAATAAAAGAAAGCCAGGGATATTTACATTTGTATCAGACAAAGTCGACTTTAAGTCAAAAACTATCACAAGAACCAAAGAAAAACATTGTAAAATAATTAAAAAGGTCAACTAATCAGGAAAATAAAACAACTATAAATATATGCACCCAACATCAGAACATCTAAGTACATAAACTATTGACAGAACAGAATGAAGGAACAGACAGTGACGCAATATCAGAAGATTTCAACACTCACTTTCAATAATAAATAGAACAACTAGACAAAAAATCAACAAGGAAACAGAGGACTTGACCAACACTGTATACCAAATAGATCTGAAAAACATAAACAGAACATACTCTCAACAAGAGCAGAATACACATTCTGCTCAAGCACACAGATGATTTTCTCTGGGATAGAACATGTGTTAAGTAACACAAAAGTTCCTAATGGATATAAGAAGACTTTTCCAACCACAATGGAATCAAACTGAAATCAATAACAGGAGAAATTTTGGAAAATTCAGAAATATATGGAAAATAAAAATAAAAAACATACTTACAAAAACAAATGGGTCAAAGAAGAAATTAAAAGGGAAATTCAAAAATATCTTCAGACAAAAATGAAAATACAAAACACTACAACTTATGGGTAGCAGCAAAAGTAGTATTAAGAGAGAAATTTGTAGTGGTAAATGTCTAGATTTAATAAGAAGATGGATCTTAAGTAAACAACCTAATTTTACACCTCAAGAAGATAGAAAAAATAAAACTAAGCCAAAAGTTAGCAGAAGGAAACGAACGATAAAGATCAGAGCAGAGATAAATGAAATAAAGAATAGGAATAAAAAATAAAAAAGATCAACAAAATTGACAAACCCTTAGCTGGACTAAGAATAAAAGGGAGAAGACTCAAATAAATAAAATAAAAAACTGAAAGAGGAGACATTATAACTGATGCCACAGAAATAAAAATTGTTATAAGAGACTACTATAACCATTATATGCCAACAATTTGGATAAACTAGAAGAAATGGATAAACTCTCAAAAATATACAACCTATGAAGACTGAGTCATGAAGAAACAGAAAATCTAAACAAATCTATAACTAGTAAGGGGACTAACAACATAATCAAAAACCTCTTGACAAAGAAAAACCCAGGACTAGATGGCTTCATTGAAGAATTCTACCAAACATTTAAAGAAAAATTAATGCAAATTATTCTCAATCTCTTCCAGAACTTTAAAGAGGTGGAACACTTCCAAATTCATTTATGAGACCAGCATTATCCTAATAACAAAGCCAAACACTACAAGAAATTGAATTGTAGGCCAATATTCCTGATGAATATAGATGCAAAAATCTTCAACAAAAGTCTTATAGACCAAACTCAACAGCACATTAAAAAGATCATACACCATGACCAAGTGGCTATTATCCCTAAAACACTAGGATGGCTCAGAATATGAAAATTAATCAATATGATATACCACAGTAACAGAACAAGGATAAAAATTACACAGTCATCTCAATCAACGCCGAAAAAGCATTTGACAAAATTCAACACATTTTCATGATAAAATCACTCAGCAAACTAAGACTAGAAGGATTTTACCTCAACAGATAAAGGCCATATGTGAAAAATCCACAGCTAACATTATACTCAGTAGTGAAAAACTACCATCTTTTCTAAGATCAGGAACAAGGCAAGGATGCCCACTCTCACCACTTCTATGCAATAACAAAAAACAATCTGAAAAGGAAATTAACAAAATAATACCACTTTCAATAATCCTACTTCCAATAATCCCAAAAATAAAATTCTTAGGAATAAATTTAACCAAGAAAGTGAAAGCCTTGTATGTTGAAAACTACAAAACATTGAATAAAGAAATTAAAGAAGACACAAATAAGTGGAAAGACATCTGTGTTCATGGATTGGAAGACTTAATATTGTTAAAATTCTCATACTACCCAAAGCAAGATACAGAGTTAATGTAATCCCTATCAAAATCCTAAAAGTATTTCTTGCAGAAATTAAAAAAAATATATCCTAAAATTCATATGGAACCACTTAGGACGCAGAATAGCCAAAACAATTTTAAGAAGGAATATCGAAGCTGGAGGCCTCATACTTCCTTTCTTCAAAACACACTACAAAGCTATAGTAATTAAAATAATATGGTATTGACATAAAGACAAACATATAGACCAATAGAATTGAATAGGTCGCTTAAAAATTAACCCAAACATATACAAATGATCATTGACAAGCGTGCCCAGATCACAAAATGGGGAAAGGTGCAAAAAAAAAAAACAAAAAAAAAAAACACAAAAGGTGCAAAAAAATGGTGCCAAAAAAAAAAGTAGATGGCCACATTCAAAAGAATGAAATTGGACCCTTGTTTTACACCATACACAAAAATCAACTTAAAATGGATGAAAGACTTAGACATAATACCTGAAAACTATAAAATTTTCTAGAAAAGAACATAAGAGAAAAGCTTTATAATATTGGTCTTGGCAATGATTTCCTATATATGACACCAAAAGCACAAACCACAGAAGCAAAAATAGACAAATGAGACAACATCAAAGTAAAAAGTTTCTGCACAGCAAAGGAAACAATCAATAGATTGGAATGGCAACTAATGAAATGGGAGAAAATCTTGGAATAACCAGATATCTGTAAAGGGGTTAATATCTAAAACTATTAAGAACTCCTACGAGTCAATAATATCAACAACAACAAATAAACCATTTTTTTAATGAGCAAAAGACTTGAATAGACATTTCTCCAAGGAAGACATACAAATGGCCAACAAGTATATGTAAAGATGCTGAACAAAAGATATTCTCTTAATCATCAGGGAAGTACAAATCAAAATAACAATGAGACATCACCTCACATTTGTTAGCATAGCAATTATGTTAGAAACAAACAAACAAATAAATAATAATAATAAAAAAACACCAAAAACCCAAACCTGAAAAATAACAAGCAACAAGTATTGGTGAGAAAATTGGAACCCTTGTCATCGACAGTGGGAACGTAAAATGGTGCAGTTGCTGTGGGAAACAGTGTGAAGTTTCCTCAAAAAATTAAAAAATAGAATTACTATGGGATCTAGCAATCCAACTTCTTCGTATTTATCTGAAAGAATTGGAAACAAGATCTCAAAAAGATATTTGCACTGCCATGTTCATTGCAGCATTATTATTATAGCTAAGAGGTGAAAGCAACCGAAGTGTCCAGCAATGGATGAATTAAGAAAATGTGGTATTCAACCAAAAAAAGCTCAGGATCAGACAGATTCACAGCTGAATTATATTAAAGGTACAAAGAGGAGCTGGTACCATTCCTTCTGAAACTATTCCAATCAATAGAAAAAGAGGAACACCACCTAACTCATTTTATGAGGCCAGCGTCATCCTGATACCAAAACCTTGGCAGAGACACACACAAAGAAGAAAATTTCAGGCCATATGCCTGATGAACATTGATGCAAAAATCCTCAATAAAATACTGGCAAACTGAATCCAGCAGGACATCAAAAAGCTTATCCGCCACAATCAAGACGGCTCCATCTCTGGGACGCAAGGCTGGTTTAATATACGCAAATCAATTAACATAACCCATCACATAAACAGAACCAATGACAAACACCACATGATTATATCAATAGATGCAGAAAAGGCCTTCAACAAAATTCAACAGCCCTTCATGCTAAAAACTCTCAATAAACTAGGTATTGATGGAACATATCTCAAAATAATAAGAGCTATTTATGACAAACCCACAGCCAATATCATACTGAATGGGCAAAAGCTGGAAGCATTCCCTTTGAAAACTGGCACAAGACAAGGATGCCCTCTCTCTCCACTCCTATTCAACATAGTATTGGAAGTTCTGGCCAGGGCAATCAGGCAAGAGAAAGAAATAAAGAGGATTCAAATAGGAAGAGAGGAAGTCAAATTGTCTATTTGCAGATGACATAATTGTATATTTAGAAACCCCCATCGTCTCAGCCCAAAATCTCCTTAAGCTGATAAGCAACTTCAGCACAGTCTCAGCATACAAAATCAAGGTGCAAAAATCACAAGCATTCTGGCCGACCGCGGTGGCTCACATCTGTAATCCCAGCACTTTGGGAGGTCGAGGCGGGCGGATCACGAGGTCAGGAGATAGAGACCATCCTGGCAACCACGGTGAAACTCCGTCTCTACTAAAAATACAAAAAAAAATTAGCTGGGCGTGGTGGCGGGCACCTGTAGTCCCAGCTACTAGGAAGGCTGAGGCAGGAGAATGGCCTGAACCCGGAAGGCGGAGCTTGCAGTGAGCTGAGATTGCGCCACTGCACTCCAGCCTGGGCGACAGAGCGAGACTCCATCTCAAAAAAAGAAAAAAAAAAAATCACAAGCATTTCTACACACCAATAATAGACAAACAGAGTGCCAAATCATGAGTGAACTCCCATTCACAAATGCTACAAAGAGAATAAAATACCGAGAAATACAACTTACAAGGGATGTGAAGGACCTCTTCAAGGAGAACTACAAACCACTTCTCAAGGAAATAAGAGAGGGCACAAATAGAAAAACATTCCATGCTCATGGATGGGCAGAATCAATATCATGAAAATGGCCATACTGCCCAAAGTAATTTATAGATTCAATGTTATTCCCATCAAGCTACCATTGACTTTCTTCACAGAATTAGGAAAAACTACTTTAAATTTCATATGGAACCAAAAAAGAGCCTGTATAGCCAAGACAATCTGAAGCAAAAAGAACAAAGCTGGAGGCATCACTACTGTATATAGTATATCACTACTGATATAGTATATATACTACAAGGCAACAGTAACCAAAACAGCATGGTACTGGTACCAAAACAGATATATAGACCAGTGGAACAGAATAGAGGCCTCAGAAATAATGCCACACATCTACAACCATCTGATCTTTGACAAACCTAACAAAAACAAGCAATGGGGAAATGATTCCCTATTTCATAAATGGTGGTGGGAAAACTGGCTATCGATATGCAGAAAACCGAAAATGGACCTTTTCTTTACACCTTATAGAAAAAATAACTCAAGATGGATTAAAGACTTAAACATAAGACCTAAAACCATAAAAACCCTAGAAGAAAACCTAGGTAATACCATTCAGGACATGGGCATGGGCAAAGACTTCATGACTAAAACACAAAACGCAATGGCAATAAAGGCCGAAGTTGACAAATGGGATCTAATTAAACTAAAGAGCTTCTGCACAGCAAAGGAAACTATCATTACAGTGAACAGGCAACCTACAGAATGAGAGAAAAATTTTGCAATCTATGCATCTGACAAAGGTCTAATATCCAGAATCTAAAAGGAACTTAAACAAATTTACAAGAAAAAAACAAACCACTCCATCAAAAAGTGGGCAAAGGATATGAACAGACACTTCTCAAAAGAAGACATTTATGTGGCCAACAAACATGAAAACAAGCTCATCATCACTGGTTATTAGAGAAATGCAAATCAAAACCAAAATGAGATACCATCTCATGCCAGTTAGAATGGCGATCATTCAAAAGTCAGGAAACAACAGATGCTGGAGAGGATGTGGAGAAATAGGAATGCTTTTACACTGTTGGTGGGAGTGTAAATTAGTTCGACCATTGTGGAAGACAGTGTGGCAATTCCTCAAGGATCTTGAACTAGAAATACCATTTGACCCAGCAACCCCAGTACTGGGTATATACCCAAAGGATTATAAATCATTCTACTATAAAGACTCATGCACACATAAGTTTATTGTCGCACTGTTCACTATAGCAAACTTGGAACCAACCAAATGCCCATCAGTGATAGATTAGATAAAGAAAATATGGCACATATACACCATGGAATACTATGCAGCCACAAAAAAGGGTGAGTTCATGTCCTTTGCAGGGACATGGATGAAGCTGAAAACCATCATTCTCAGCAAACTAACGCAGGAATGGAAAACCTAACACCGCATGCTCTCCCTCATAAGTGGGAGTTGAACAATGAGAACAAATGGACACAGGGAGGGGAACATCACACAACACACCAGGGCCTGTCGGGGGGTGGGGGGCTAGGGGAGGGATAGCATTAGGGAGAAATGCCTAATGTAGATGATGGGTTGATGGGTGCAGCAAACCATGAAGGCACATGTATACCTATGTAACAAACCTGCACGTTCTGCACATGTATCCCAGAACTTAAAGTATAATAATAATAATAATAAAAAACTTTCAAATGGAAAAGAAAGAGTGTATAGCCTATTTGTGACCATGTGTATAGCCTACTTGTGACCATGTGTATAGTTGATTAAGACTGTATATATGTTTCAGGCACCACATGGAAATAGCTGAGGCTGGAAATTTCACAGGAAATTCTCAGATTAAGGGCTTTGTAAGCCATGCTAATGTGGACTTAATTCTGATTGCTATGGCAAGGGACTGTAGAATTTTAAGCAAGAATTTGAAGACTTCTTTCCACTCAGACTTCAAAGCTTGCAGTTTTAAGACTTTTTCCTCCTCCCAGCTGGGCATTAATAGCCTATCTCCCAGCCCTTAAATTCGATATCTGTATCCATAGCTCCCGTGGTTTACATGGTCTCAGCTGCCCCCACAGCCTGATCTGGTTTGAGTTCTCTTTTTTTGTATTTGCCAACTTAGAATTTTCCTTTCACTTGAAACCAGTTTATATATTTTTAAAATTTTATTACATATTATCCTGAACTTTTAGCTATCTGTAGTGGCAGAGCAGAGCCTTTTTAAAAATAGCTTGATTGCCATATTATCATAAAGTTCAATAAAATACAGATATTACTCCGACATCTGTTGTCTTATTCTAAAAAATTAAAAATGGAATTATGTGATATTTAATTTCTTCAGTAGACCATAGTACAATGTGACTAATAATACTGTATAGTATTTAAACAACATCATCCTTTCCCCAATATTAAAGGGTTCAGAGAACTACAGAAGAAAGTGAGGGAACTCCTTGCTTAATAAATGAGCAAGGAGAAATCTTTACAGTGTTGTTCAAATACTGCAAAATAAGAGAATAAATCCGCATAAAGGAGAGAGAATCTAGAAAACAGTAGATCCACTCAAGAGGGAAGCAAATGGAATTCTCAGTATAATGGCCAAGGGAAAGACCATGATGATGGCTTTGAGAGAAACTAGTCCAGATTACAGCAGATCAAAAACACTCTAGAGGACTATGTACATGTATGATATATCAATTTAAAGACAAAGAAGTTAGCGTGCAAGAAAGGCTTCAGAAGAAATATAACCACAAGAAAGAACTGATAAAACACTTGATGTTTAAACATTTAAAAAGGAGATACAGATAACTTGTGAGAGTTTAAAAATGCATTCATGATAAATATATAGAAAACTAAATGAACAGAAAAAAATGAGAAAAATTTATAATTCTAGGAAAATAAAATGCTATATAAATGGTGAAGAATAATCATTTTATCCTATATAGCTCATCGGTAAATAGCATTATACATATATATGCTATTTTTAATAATGTGAATACTTATCACCTATTTAACCAAAATTATGATATAATTATATTGAGAGGCTAGGGAAACAAAAAATGAATGAGAAAGAGGTGGAGTGACAAATGTTAAATGTTAATTTTTCATAGTAGAAAGTCAGTATGTATTGCTTAAAATTAAAAAACCAAAACTAACACTAAGCATATTATTTAAAGGAACAGAGGTAAGTAATAAAGGCAATAGCTAAAAGAGAATAAAGTAGTTGCTTCCAGGAAAGAAAACTGGGGTTGGGAGAGGTAGGCACTTCATTGCTATTCCATAAAAATAATACAAACCTATTGAACTATTTGCCCATTTTACTTTGATGTAGAAAAAAGAAAAATAAATTGTAGTAAAAATAACAGGGCACTCATAATATTGAAAAAAATGAATTTGATTAATAGGTATTTTCCATCCTAATTTGATAAAATATTTGTGGACAGCAGTGTCAAGCTTTGGTCCAGTTGAAAAAATAAAATAAAATAAATTAATTAATTAAATACTATGGAACTTCCTAAAAAAGAAAATAAAGATAAGTGTTTCTTTATCTTCTACTAGAGCAGTGGTTTGTTTGGATTTTTTTCTTTTTTTAAGAAACACCACTTTACTGGCCGAGGACTGCCTTTCCTGTGGAAGGAAAAGTTATGCTAAGCTGAGTGCTAAAGTCAAAGAGCTGCAGAGCCACTCCTGCTGTTTTCAATTAGCATGCCAGTCCCAATGGCATGTCCGGCAGACGGTGTTTTATTAAGGGTGGGTCATCTCCTCCTCCAAGCCACGTGAACAGCCTGCGGTTCTACATGCTTCCCTTGACCTTCCAGTCCCTCTGGAGTCGTGTGACTGCTGGAAGCTGAAGCCACAGCTGTCTGCCACTTGACTCCCAAAGCTCAGTGTGATCTGCAATCTTCCCTTGGGACAGAGAAGGAAAGCAAGTTGATGGAAAGAAATGTCTCTTTCTGAAATAAAATAGTTTCTTTTCCTTGAGCATGTTTGAGAACTTAAATGAAGGTAACGAGCATACAGAGATGTGGAAGGTTAGTCATGTAATAATGCTCAGCAGGAATCAGGTGGGAAGTTCTGGTCCTCTCAGCTAAGGGACTGGTTCTGGGCTAAAGGAGAGTGGCTCTTTACGAATTAGGATGGCAATCATACTGAAAAGCTCGGCATATATGACTCTGGAGAAGAGTGAGCTGACCTGGAATTTAGCCTAAAGAAGAGAAGGTTGAGGGTGATTTAAAGAGGAACTCTGGAGCAGGAAATGTCATTATATTAGGAATGAGGACCAGATGTTCTCAATCTTGTCAGAGCACAAAGTCGAGACAAAGAATGACTTTATAGAATAAGGCAGAACTCCATGACCGTTGTTAAACACTGGAATGGGGTGTTCGTGGAGGCTGTGGAATTCTCCATAAAAATAATTCCTTTGTCTCATATGAGCATTTGTGTGTAGGTTTGCCTTAAGAATTAAAGATTAATGAAACAATCTCTAGGGGGTCCCTTCGTGAGTGTTTTTTGTATCACAACAGTCTTTCAGATAAATAAGAAAAAAGGGCCTTTGGAAGTTCTACTTAGAGTAATCCCTGGATCCCACAGCTATAGGGGCCTGAACGAACAGTACAAACAAATTTTCTTGTTTTTTCCTTCTATTCTCTTTCCAGTTTCCTGTACTGTTTGTAAACATATTGATTACACTGATCAGAGTAATAGAGGGACAACAATCCCTCAATTGCACCCTTTCACCAATGGCTTTGTTCATTATTGTGTTGGAGATAGAAAAGTTTATTACTTAAGACAAATATATCTTAATGTCTTAGTCCTTCTTTGCAATGAAATGAAGTTTTGTTTCAAAACTTTTAAGATGCTCAATGAGATGACAGGAGTAATTTACAGGTTTGAATAAAAACGTTCCTTTTATTTTTCTTAAATGGTATGACAGGAACATATAAATATATGGTTAATTCTTCCATTTGATCTAGCACTTACTTGATATGAAATTTTACTTTAAGTCTTGCAAAATATCCATTCACCTTTAAGGTAGAACTATCCACATAACCCACAAGACTTGGATATGTCATCTCACAGAAATTTTAACAAACAAACCAATAACGTATTGGTGACTGTAATTCACTGTAATCTGTAGTTAGAATAAGTAGTTTTCAATTTATATTTCCTATGTTTCAAATCAAAGCTAACATTTTAATTAGTAAAATGACCATAAAAAAGTGGCTGATGGCTAATTAATACTGATTACTACACTGTTAGCTGATTAATGAGTTCAGTTAGTAAGATAGCTATGAATTTTGATTAGTTAAACTCATCTGTGTATCTTTCAATGAACTAAATTACAATTCTGTTTATTAACCTGCTGTAATTTTTGTGAAGTTTTCATATTATTTAACAAAGAAATGGTATTCAAAGGAAAAACTACAAATATATAAACTAAATTGATATATATATAAATAATATACAGCTATCTTCTCTTTGCATAATGACTAAAGTTAATACGATGACATTTTTCTTGCACTCATCAACACAGAATCACTGCACTTACTTATCAAATAATTTTTTAAGAAATAAATACGCAAAATTTCTAGGAATGAAAGGGTCTTGAAATCTATATTTTATCCATCCCTCTGCTTCTAGTCAAGGCTGAATTTAAAGCTGTCTCATAAGATGGCTGGCTCTTAAATCAACTAGCAAGCAGGAAAAGGAATGAGAAGTTATAGGAAGGAGTGTGAACAGCCAATATCACCATATTTGTGTCACAGTACCACCAGGGTTAAAGAATCTTAGGTGCCAATAACTTGTTACTCAGAGTATCAGAAACTGTGCTGCCCCCAAAGTACATAAGCAGTCCCAGAAGCCAGAACAAGTGACAGCACCTTGAGAGTTCCTTTAAGGAATACAAAAGTGTTTGCTGTAGAAGGGGTTCAAATATTTTATGTATATTAATTGATAATTTTATACCCTTAAATCTAAAAGAAATAGTGTTCTATTTTTATTAGGCTGCTAATAATCCATACTTGGGATTGTTATTTTGGCACCAGGTAGTTATGTCTACCTTCAAACTTTATCAACCTAAAGAGTAATGAGACCAAACTTTCTGTAACTCAATTACTACAGTAACGCAGAATTATCTCTATTCTATTGGAATTAATATTTGTACTATAAACTGTCTTTTTGTGCATCCCACTGTAGAAGATATGGTGTAACAGAGTACTATGTCATAGGGGAAAAAACTTTACTACAAAAAACCTTGGTAGTTTGATGACAAACTAGGTGTTGTGAGAAGAACAGATGTAAGGGAGGAAAGATGGAGGAAAAAGTATAACTGCAAAGTTCCTGGCTTGAGAGGCAGATAGACACAGTGCCCCAGCTGCTGCTCAACATTAGAATGGAAAGGCAGTCTGAGGGAGAAGAAATGAGTTTTGTTTAAAACTGTTGTATTTTAGTTACTTACATAGCTTCTTCAAAAAAAAAAAAAAAGTTCTAGGAAGTACAAAATTAGGATTGAACCACAAGCGAGAGGAGAACACCTAGGTCCAAAATGTAGGGTGTGGAAAGCATTGGATTGGAGTAGAAGCTCTCTGAGGCAATGCACACTGGGAAGTTGGACAAATAGTCATAAGCAGTTTGTTGGAAAAACAAGAGGTGAAAGAAATCGAAAAGATAAGGAAGCATAGCAATGTAGAAGCTTTATTTCTGTAACATTCTCGTATTTTTATATTTATGTGATTCTCCATAAAACCTTTCTTTAAAATTATTTTGTAAAGGAAGATTGCACAAAATTATATGCTGTTTGATAATATAATACTACAAGTTTATAAGGACATATAAAATCTTAAGAGGTTATTATGCCCTCTTTATGAAAATATCATAGAAAAAGAGTTTAAGGAAGAGGTGGTCTAAACTATTAAGAAATATCTGTTTGTAATTAACCCAAATGAAATCAGAACTATTTCATAGTAGATGAACTCAAAAAGTAGCTACATGATTTTTTATATTTTTTCCATAAGAAATATAGCTAAAAATAGAGACAGAATTACTCATAAATTTGTATCAAATATGTGATTTTTATTAAAAGTTTCCACTGACTTGGCTTTAATTCAAGAAGAAAACAATTCTATGGCAAACTTAATTCTCTAAATATAATATTTAGGCCTGGGTTATTTGCTTTTTTGTTTTGTTTTCCTCTTTTAAATCTTTCCTATTCGGTTTCTAAGTTTCCCAGACAGGTACAACTTTGTAATCCTTTCAATATATTTATATAATTTCATTTGTTTGACAACTTTCAATCGTTCGTCAGTATTTGAAATATGCTTTAGCTGCTTTAAAATAAATGGAAACAGAAAAAATTTGTTTATAGAAAAGGAAATAGGATAAAACTTTTCTTGAGTATAATTTAATAATATTGACCATGTTCTCAGTGGCTTTTAAACCATTTGACAGTTCAAAGGTGAATTTTTGGCTGAACAGACTCAGTTATATTCTGATGGGAACCATGTGCTGCTTGGTAGTTTCTAAGACTGTTTACCCTAAAATCAGTTAAAGTTGGATCTTTGTGGGGTTCTGTTTTTCTTGGGACTAAAATACAAATTCATATTTACATTTTTGTTTTTGTTTTTGAGACAGATGCTCACTCTGTCACCCAGGTTAGAGTGCAGTGGTGCTATCTCCTCTCACTGTAGCCTTGAATTCCTGGGCTCAAGGATCCTTTCACCTCGACTCATGAGTAGCTGGGACTACAGGCACACACCGCCAAACCCAGCTATTTTATTATCATTATTACTTTTTGGACAGAGAAGTTCTCACTAGGTCACCCAGTCTTGGTCTTGAACTCCTGGGCTCAACCAATCCTCCTGTTTTGGACTCCCAAGGTGCTGGGATTACAGGCGTGAGCTACTGCACTTGGCCCTATTTGACTGTTTTGAAGATTTTCCTGGGCATGTTTTGTGGTATTAAAATACTATTATGTACAGAATTAACAAAAAAGCTTTCTATAGTCTATCATATTTCACAAATCCCCAAACAGTTTTAAAATACTTAGTTAGCATTGAATTTTTCACATGATTCATGTGTAATTCTATTAGTGGCCTCATTTGGTAACACCTCCATAATGGTGGGCACAGAATTTGTCTCCATGTTTAAGGGACAATTTTGGAAGTTGGAGTCAATTTCATTATCTGGGGGCTGATTAATGCTAATTGTGGAGACAAACAGTGAGACAACACATTTGGGAACTTTCAAGATTTTTCCTAATTACCCAAAAGTCGACCAAAAAAAGATATAGAGATTTAATGCCTGAAACTAAAAGTAACCAGAGGACACTACTTTGTATAACAAAGTGCCCCTGCTCTCACCTATTGACTCTGTAACAGTCCTCCCTATTGGGAGGTGAGGGGATGGCTCTTCAGCATTCTTTTTTTTTTTTTTTTTTTTTTGAGACGGAGTCTCACTCTGTTACCCGGGCTGGAGTGCAGTGGTGCGATCTCAGCTCACTGCAAGCCCTGCCTCCCAGGTTCACGCCATTCTCCTGCCTCAGCCTCCCGAGTAGCTGGGACTACAGGCGCCCGCCACCAAGCCTGGCTAATTTCTTTTTCTATTTTTAGTAGAGACGGGGTTTCACCGTGTTAGCCAGGATGGTCTCAATCTCCTGACCTGATGATCTGCCCAGCCTTGGCCTCCCCAAGTGCTGGGATTACAGGCGTGAGCCACCGCACCCGGCCGGCTCTTTAGCATTTTTAATGTTGCCTTCCATGTGGAGGAATCCCACCAGTGTGATGCTCTTAGCCTCTCTCTACCCCTTCATTTGCTTCTCTTCAAAAAGACACAACATTCAATCTGATGGGTAAATCTGAAAAAAACTAGATACATATAAACTTGTTTCTTTCTATCCCCATTTCTTTTTGGGAGAAGGCATCTGGTAGTCCAGTACTTTTTGTACCTGGGTAGGTAAGTTTATCTAGTTCTGAGGATGAGTATTTGGAAGTTCACTTGCCCGCACATTTAAACCATATTCTATTTTATTAGCTTCATTGGGAATTATTTTGTTTCCCATCTGACTTACTCTTTTGTCCTACTTCTCAGTTAGTTCATAAGTCAAACAGAATAGAGAGGTGTTGAGAACTGAGCCCCTTAAACATCAACACTCCTCTCCTGGCTAACAGTCTCTTATTCACGTTTTCATACAACAAATATTGATGAAGCCTTTGCTACATATTGGATCCTGCACTTGGTGCTGTAGGTGGTGAGAAGGTGATTCAGTCCCAGCTCCAACTTAACCCTGGCTTAGGTCTATCTTCTGAGAGTGAATTATAGGGTCAGCCCTAAACCCAGACAAAGCCACTATGTTGGCTGTGAAACTGGAGGAATTAAGTGAGGAAAGGAAGGGAGCATGGGCTTTAATTTTGCCTTGCACAGCTCCTACTCCAATAATTGACAAAAGATAAATTTATTAAATGTAAACAGGTCAGACTAACAGAAAATTTTTTGTTCATGATTTATGAAAGTTTATTTGAAATTTAAGGTCTTTGTGAACTAAAATTATATTATTTTTACACTTTTGAATGATGCCTACAGAATCGTACTTTTGTTCCCAAATGTTGAATATTGCCTAAATAAATGTTTTGATCAAATCCATTTGACTATTTTTGCTTTAATTGTGATTTGGGTTGTCTATGAACTCCTTCTTCTTCCATCTTGTTTCCTTTATCCCAGTGATAGAAAGCTGAAACAAGTTTTCAACTTTGTTTAACAAGTAGAAACAAGTTTTCTACTTGTTTCTTAGTCTACTCACTATGTAATTAATAACTGACTAGATTATGAATCCATATCTCCTTTATGACTCTGTCTCCTAAATGTGTTGTTTCTGCCTCTTCACTGGGCTTTCTGAAACAGCCTTACAAAATTTAGGGGAAAAAAATAAAGGGAAAATGGATGGATCTTGGGACTCTCTTAACAGTAGGCCTAGAATAGTACAGAAATAACATCTTTGCAGAATGTGTTGTTAAACAGCTGGGAAAAAGGGAGGGAGGTTTCCCAAAATCCAAACAATGTTTCTTCCACCTGGAACCCATACCTGAGAGACCAACCTGTTCCAAATTCCCCTTTCATTCCAATCTACTGCCAGGCCAAGGTCTACCCAAACCTGTCTGTCACCTGTAATGAGCTGGATAATGTCAGTGGACTGGGATGAATTTCTGTTTTCTCAAAGATACTCTGTTCCAAGAAATATAAGGTCTTTTTCTTAACTATGTGAACAGTAAATGTACGTATTGTTTATGGAGCATGCCAAAATAGTTTAAAAATGATACTATGGAAAATTATTAACCAAGCACTTTGCAACTTTTCAAGATAGAATTTAAATGCAGTTTCAAGCACTCTCATTTAAAACATTTTTTATCTGTTTCTGACGGTGACTGATTTTGACTCTGCTAGGAAAATCTCAGGATGGAAATTTCCTGAGCTGACAGTAGGTCATGCTGAATTAGAGACATCACTCATGTTGGGGGAGGGGGTAGCAGTTAAAGAATGTAACTGAATTTATTTCTCATTAGTTATATATTCATAAAAGCATTGAAGAGTAATTTTCTAATTTTCCAGTTTTAAAAATAATGGATCAGTTTTTCCATGCAGTTTCTCCTAATATGATGGGAGCAAAGAGATACTCAAAGGAAGCTTCAACTCACGTCATGTTTCAGAACTTTTTTTCTTAAGAATGTTGTCTTTTTCTTTTCTTTTCTTTTCTTCCCCAAGTCCCTATTACTTTTTCCATGACATATGATTGGGATATCAAAAGCAGATATACTGTACTCTATAAATGGACCTCTAACATTTAAACCTAATTGAGAGGCACACAGAATTTCACTGGAAATTGTGACTCAGGCAGGCTGAAATTACACAGCCCGTCTGTGCCTACCTTTCATCTCCCAGTGTATTCCTATTTGAGAAAATTAGACTATTCCTTTGCTACTAGATATTTTTATTCACTACTCACACTAGTGGGCACCCTAAAAACTGAAATTTTAATATGGGGATAACAATTAATTTAATCCAGTGTTTGAGAGCAGGCCAGGAATTGAAGGCAAATGGAACTTTGTTTCTTTTTAATAACTTTCATTCCTCTCTTAGCTTTTAAAAAGAGAAGTTCTCTCTTGTGCTCCTTTCCTGACATCATCTTTAACTTTGTTTGCTCTTATCCTTTCTTTTGAAAATTTCCCCCAATTCAATGTAACTGTATTAATCAGCTCTAGCTACTATGATACTACATAACAAACTACTCAAAAGTTCAGTGCACTGGAACCACAAGTGTTTATTTCCTCTCCTACAGGTCTGTGGTTTGTTAGGGATGGCTCTGCTGTAGGCTGAGTTGACTGTGCTGCATCCCAGGCTTCAGGTTAACTACGAGTGGGCTTTGTATGTCTCCACATACCCCTAGAACCAGGAGCTATCCAAGTCATGTTCTCTTCACAGTGGCTCACAGAAGCCCAAGGAGGCAAGCAAACACCTAGGATGTCTCTTAAGATCTTGACTCAGAATTCTATATTCATTGGCCAAAAACTTCATGTGGCCAAACTGAACATCAGTGGAATAGAGAAATCTCCACTCATAGTCATGCACTGCCAGACACATGGCAGGAAGGAGAATTGAGAAAAATTACTGAATCTATAGTGACCAATGGGAGATAAAATATTCCATTGTTTCTGGACTCCACCTCAGGCTGCACATTAAATGTGATGTGACTTGCCACTGGTGTTATATTATACGATAGGTTCCATTAAAAATAAATGTTGCATTTAAGACAATGTTGTATTTTAGAAAATGATTTGTACACATTTTATCAACCTCATGTAGTAATGCCAATTACAAATGAACACACAGGATTTCATAGCCATTTATACAGATAGGCAAGCATTCTCAGAAACATTTGTCTGTCTCTTGTGTTTATCAAACATAATTATACTTCCCAAACCCCAGTACATCCTTGGTTATTGCAGTGATTTTCCTTCATTCTCTCTACCTCTGATTCCATGGTTTAGGTTAAAGCACGGAATAAGGAAAGTTATACAAAAAGTTAACTAAAAAAATAAGAAATTAGAAAAGGAAAATGTAACAAAATGTGAGTGCTAGGTAAATGGGATGAAACAGCTCTGGTAATACTCATTGTGAGTCTATTCAGATCAAATAGACTAGAATCTGAGGTCTCTATTCAGTGCCAAGTGAGCCTTAAAAACATTACAAGGAAATGAATGAATTCATCACAATGAATTCCTACTATCATCTTAAACCTGGAATTTAAGATATGTCACCAAAACTGGTAATGATAAAGTCTCACTAACTAGTCAGGAGCCAACTCTAGTGACTGAAACAGTAATCTGATATGTATTATGTGCCTGGAAAATAAGTAAACACTCATAAATGTTTACCATTATTATTCCTTTTATTATTGTATATGAGCTACTGTGCTACATGTTACAGATAAAGTGGTGGGCAAAACACATATGGGTGCACTTCTGCAAATTGTCCAGTGGCTAAACTCAAAATTTGGTCTTAAGACTATCAGGTGGACCTATACACAATGAATTTTGTTTAAGAGTAGTTTTTGTGAAAATTACTTGATGCTTTTAGTTCGCTGCATACTCGATTTGAATTAACAACAGAATATGGCCACAATGGAAAATTGTTTTTACTGATAGGTTAATTAATAGAGATGTAGTTCCCAAATAGGTTAATTAACAGAGATATATTTCCCAAGAAAAGGAAGGCAATCACTCCACTTTGCTCTTGATAAGTCAGTAAACATATGAAGAACTATATTAAGTTTATGTTACCAAGTATTAACATTTTCAGAAAATTAATGAAAAATTGAACTATGCACAGAAGAGGGTATACAAAAGGGTAATTAATCTGGAAATGTTTGTGTAAGGAAAAGATGAAAGGACAAGTGACTTTTATCTTAAATAAGAGAAATAATTTTTATATAACTGTTTCTTAATAAGTGTTTAAAAGGTTACTGTGGTCAATATATTATTTTGTTATTATAGAGGTCAAAACTTGGTGTAAAGACAGAACTGATTGCCTTTAGCATAGGTGTAACTACAATTGTTGTATTTAAACAAGAAAATAGATACCTATATAACTTGATATTTTTTTCCTGGAAATATTCAGGAAATGCTTGATGGTATGAATAATTATTTAAAAATTTATTATTTCAGGCTACAGTTCTATGTTACTAGTTTTCCAAAGGAACATGCATATATCCTGACCCACTAATTTATTCATTTGTTTAGTTTTTAATTCAACAAATATTCTTTGAAAATTTACTAAATTTTGTGCAATGATCTTGTCACCAGGAATATAGCAATAAAGAAGAAAAACAAAATCATTGTCCTCATGAGCCCTACATTCAAGTAAGTAAAAAACTTGTAAATAAATCTTCTCATATTATTATAAATTCTATTAAGAACATGTATTTAAAATTGTTTCAAGAATGTCAAAAACGCATGTTTTGTGTGTGCCCACTCCCCTTCCCAACTCTATCACTTTCGATCTCTTTTCATTTTCATGCTCAGATCTAAATGTTTAAGTCATGATATGGTGTGGCAGAGGAAGGACTGTAATATGCACTAGACAGATCTGGTTTCATCCTTGGCATGGCTATTTACTAGCTATGTGAGCTACTTACTTGGCCACTTTGACCCTCACTTTTCTTATTTATAAAATGCAGGGAAATGGTGACAGCATTTGTACAACGATAAAATGAGATGACATGTGAGATAGTTACCTTTTTTGATAGTTCTTTATTGGCAGCTCCCACCATCACCACTCTTCTCCACAGATCTATGTATTCTCTTCCTCTGCCTTACTTGAGGCCTGGAGGCTGAACTTCAAGGAATGCATCTCTTGGTTTCCCTTGTTGATTTGTTCCCAGTTCAGTTCAGCGATTGGAAGCACTGGCAGGAGACTGGAGAATACAAAAAAGAGAGGTAAGAGTATTTCTTCCCTGATGTTTCCATGTGTTGGCAGGTATATTTAGCACTAGCTGCATCCCTCCAAGACCAATGCTTCAACCAAGTGACCCATATTTTTAATAATCCTAGCTCCCTCTGTGCTTGAGTAACTTCATTTCCTCCCCGACCTTTTTGTCCTGGGAGTAATATGTTTTCTTACTGATGTTAGTCCATGGATGGCTCACTATCCCTTCACCCCCACCACACACATCCATAAGTAGTCCTTCATTAAAGTCTCTGCATTTGAACCATCTGGGGAGAATCATTTCCTGTAGGGATTCTGAATAATACAGTATTTACTACCAGGAATAGCCACATAAAGTAGCTCCTCAATAGGGTATTCAGAAGCTGGTTTGTTAAGTGTTGGATGAAGGCATTATCTTCCTGAAGGAAGATAGGAGATAGGTAATGGCTTGCTGTGGTATCATCATTACTCAGATTATTGCCAGTGTTGGCATAGGATGGAGGATCCAATAATGGTAATTATAAAAAGTATGGGCTGGCTAGCTACTTATGACTATGCAGGGAGCTAACCAAAAAAAAAGAAAAATGCACAGCAACTTAAATTTCAAACACAAAGCACTAGTGGAAAACTAGACAGCTCCTATAATGAACCTTAAAAGAATCCCTTATATCTAGTAACTACAGGGCAGACATGCCTGAAGACTGGGCCCCAGTGTATAATTGCGTAGGTAGCAGAATTGCTGCATTTTATAAATGCACATAATTACCAAAGCACTTATGATAAAGTTAGGGCATTGGTTGAAAAGTTACACTGTGAGACTGGGGATGAGGATATTTGGATAGGATAGACCCATTTGAACGTGTAAACTTTGATTTTCTAAATCACTTGAAGATTATTTTGCAAAAAGGAGCCTTTCTTTCCCAGTGTTAGAAAAATAAACTTTCTGTGCAGAAAGACCTTTAAATGACCTTTCAATGACCTAATCTGCACTTTTGACCTACAAAGGGATGCCAGTTCTTCTGAAAAGCCACCCCCCACTATCTCTCATTGCCTCTGTACCCGTAACTAGAGCTATATCTCAGCAGCCCTCAGGTATAGAATTGATAACCCTATTTCAAAAAGAGAGTATATATCATAAGACTTAAAAGATCTTTTAAAACTGGATCATCAGGCACCTTATAACCTGTGTAGGGATGGTTTCTAAGAGTGTTATATTGAGGAAGACAAAATATAAGGGTGAATTGAGGCAATTCATCAATAGATAATAGATGCACTTCCCAGTATTTTGAATTAGTGTGCCAGCCAAGGCAACTTTAAGCACCTCTAGTAGTTTCCTTTGTTGGCTTCTGAAGCCTGGATTCAATGAAAAACAACATTTCATGATATTAATCTGCCAGAACTTTCTTGCTCTAATTTGAAGAAAAAAAAAAAAACACAAGACTTTAGAGAATTAAGGTCTTGAGGCAGATTTATTATATGCAATATACACACCTTCCTTCTCTGTCCATCAAGAGATGCCAGAGAACACTGTACCTTTTTCTGTGAAGGCATTAAAAAATTAGTACTCTTTTCCATCAAGGCAAGTAAGAAAATTCACTATGAAGAGAATAGCATCTTCAGAAAGTTTTGAAGTGGCTTTTTGGCAAACTGAAAATAAAGGTGGGGGATGCGGCCATTGTATTAGGATCTCTCATTTCTTGGAATCTCTCATTTCAATGAGAATAATGGAATCCTGGGGTAGGAAAGGCCATGTGGTAGTGCTTAACCTTCAGAGAAAAGGTGGTTGCAATTACCATAATCGGCCACAGAGATGGGGTGGCAATCAGTGTTTTGACCTGCAGGAATCTGTGGCGGTGGCTAATGACAATGTTCCCTGTAATAAAGTGGACGGGCAGTTGATGAGGTATTACTTGATCTATATAATTGGAAAAAGTGTATGTCTTTTAAACAGAAATCTGGCTTGAGTTGCCAAAGGGCGGGGGGTATTCACGACCTCTTATAGCCTCTCATTCAGTTTCTAGACCTGGGAAGTTTTTGAGGACACTGCAAATCAGCCCCAGGGAAGAAGGTTAGATGGTCCTTGGAGAATGGTTGTGAATTATCAACAATTTTATCTGATTTTAGCTGTTATGCTAAAAGTGATATCTAGACTGGTGAAAATTAACATAGCTCCTGCTTAATAGGATAGCAACTATTCACCTGGCAAACATTTTTTTTCTCATCCCTGGGGATACTATATGAAGCCTCCGGGACATACAGGGCATATACATAGAATTTTGGAGCAAAGCAACAATTCGTCCATTTGAGAAGCAGCTGTCAGGAGCATCACTTCCACTGTAAAAAGTTGCTAAAATCTAGTGTTTGGGGTTTTGAATGCATAAATGTCTAGCTAGAAACCACATCTCAACCTCCCTTGTAGCTAGGTATCCCCTTCCCACAGGTTGCATAGATATGCAGCAACCCAGCTTCTACCATACAGAAGAGGATCATATCCTAGGGGTAGCAAATGCTATAAACCTGAGTTTCTGAATAATCACCTGCAGCAGAGCTGCCCCATCAGCCCACACTGGCCAGACATTTCATAAGAGAGAGAGAGAGAAACTTACATATTATTTAGACCACTGTATTTTGAGGTCTTTCTATTTCACCAGCTAAGCTTTTGCCTTATCTAATATTCTTTGAATGTTGCTGTTGCCCTCATTTCCTTCTTCCTCCTGCTGTTACTAGAATGAATTCTCCACTGACCTTTCAACTTAACTAATAAACAATAATAAACTTAAAGAATACCAGATGTCATTTTTTACCTATTAATTTGGGAAATAATATTTAATAACATTCACTATGAGAGATGATGCATAAAATATAATTCTCACAGTTGGTAGAATGATAAATTGATACAAACTCTTTGGAGGATAATTTGGCATAATCAATCAAAATTTTGAAAGTATGTAGTCTTTGATTCAGCAATGCCATCTAAGAAGCTGTTGTATATGTACACCAAGTTGTGTTTATAAGAACATTGATTACAGCATTGATTGAAGGAGCAAAAATGCTGGTAACAGCTTAAAGTTATCAATGGGACAAATATTAAACTGAACTAGTGTCTCTATTCTGAAATCCCATACTACTATCAAGTGAATGATATAGGTCTAGACATCTTGATATAGAATAAACATAGAAAAATCTCCACAGTGCTGCATGAAAAAAGCAAGGTACAAATTATTTGCAAATAAAAGCATATAAATATATTTACTACACAGATAAGCATACACACACACACTCACACACACACACAGTTATAGAGAGATTAAATGATAGACAACATACAAATTCTAGAAGGAACATCTATCCCCTTAATGGACTTTGGGGAAATTTCATTTTTAGCTGTTTATGTGTAAAATGGTCTTGAATTTTATATAATAACTTAATAATTAGAAACAACAAAAAGAAACTATTAGGCTTAAAGAACTTAAAGGGGTTGGAGGAATTCCAGGTTCTGCTTTGGGGAAAGTTATTCTAAATCTAGTAATTCCTTTCCCTTTTTAAAGAGCAAACTTATGCCCCCAGAAATCTTTTACACCTGTTAGGATACACATTATCATTGTTGGCTAACTTGCCCATGAATTTCCAGAGGTAAATAATTTTTTTTCTCAAAGTAAGGTGTTAATTCATCTTTAAAAAATCCAAGATTTAAAAATCTGAGAGGAAATCTTGTAAATACATAATTTATAATTGATGTGGTAAATCATTCTGGATAAATGTCTGGTTTATTTTTAGTTCAATTAACATCAGGGATAGAAAGAAAAACCATCCACAAGCTTACTGATGTTCACAATAAGTATTCTAAAAGTCACTTAGTAACAGTGGCAATTTACAAGCTCACTAACAACCCCAAACTATTCCCTGGATAAACTTTGTCAAGTAAACCTAATTTTATTCCTAAAGGCACTATTTCCATCCAAAGAATTACATTACATTTCTACATTTGCTTCTCTTTGATTATTTCTTTAGTCTTAATGCTTGAGGAAAGTAAGAATGTCACGGAATACTTCTTTTCTTCCTGTTTTACGTAAAAGATTACAACTCAACCTGGAGTACTTCATCTCAACAGACTCATCAAGAGAATGGTTATGAAATGTTTTTAAATGGGTACCTGTCAGATATTTTCCCTCCTCCTATGGTTCACAAGATGAATCCTTATCTAGTGTTACATTTAAGAACAATGCTTACACATCTTATGAGTCAATGTTGCTCTTGTTTCAGAGAGTGATTAAGACTTTTCTTTTTGCACACTTCTACTGTTCTCAGCTTGGATGTGGGGCATTTTCCAGGGAGTGCCCTTTGCTTTGAAGTTGCCTTTCCAATCCTGTTTCCTGTTTCTTCTGGGAGGATTGAGAAGTCCTGCTTTTCCAGTTTGATTTATTCAAAGAAGAAAAATATTTCCTTTGAATTTATTAGAGCTTTTTGGTTTTTGTCACTTAGTACTGGCATGAACTTTTTTGTTTGGGTTTTGGTTTTGGTTTTCTTGCACAGAAGCAATTGCATTAAGATAGTGGTTTTCAAACTGTGGTCCCTGACCAGCAGCATCTGTATAACTTGGGAACTTATGAAAGCACAAATTCTCAGCTTCATCTCAGATTTACTGAATCTAAAACTCCACCCAGCATCCAGACTGGACTCAGCAATCTTCATTTAAACAAGCTTTCCAGCTGATTCTGGTGCATGCCTAAGTTTGAAACCCCACCACCATCACCCCTACCACCACATGAAATAATATGAAAGGGGCTTAGCATTTTAACATATTGCAAGTATACCTGAGCAATTTACACTTGGAAAATGGGACATTATGTTGGGCTGGATTCTGGACACAGTATGGGGTCATCAGAAAAGGTGTTCTGAATTTGAGTGCTATTGGCCACTGACATGGAGGGGTAGACATGGGGACTGAAGTGTCCATTTCTTTATTCTTTTGTTTAAGTACTCCTTTAGCAGGAAGTACCTGAACCTTGGTACTTCGAGTATGTTCTGAGGACCAGAATCATCAGCTTTGCAGAAATTCGTCCAAGAATGTGCATTTTAAGTAGTTCACCTGATGATTCATACTTACATAAAAATGAGAAGAGTCATTGACCCAGTGAGTACCTGGTGGCCTTCAGTTCAATGTCAAGGTGCCTCTTCTTGCACTTGGTTTTGATTCACGCTCTTCTGATACTTGAACTGCTTTACTGGATTTCTGGCATGTTGCACTTATTTTCTTCTCTTACCTAAGTTAAATAAATGTGGAATTGTTGGGTCAAAGACTATGTGTCTTTTAAACATTGATAGACACTACATAATTGTTCTCTATAGAATGGACCCCTTTATCTTTTCATCAACAATTTGTAAGGGTTCCAGTTTTTTCCAACCTTCTGCCATACTGCATAATTTTAAAATATTTAATTTTTTCCAAAACTAAAGGTGAAGAGTCTTATTTTTGTTCTAATTTTTATTATATGTTGGAAATGTTGCTTCTTTTCTGATGTTTCTGTTTAACTTTATGCCATCATTGATTATCTATTATGTGCCATCAACTTGCAAATTATTTTAAATATATAATAGGTAACATAATAATCCTGCAAGGTATGCTTTATAGTTTATAATTTAGACCTAAGGATATTCAGGCTCAGAGCAATTAAATCATTGGTCCACTAAGATACACATACATTACACATAAATTAAAATGTTATGCAAAAATTAAAAATCAAGTTCAATTCAAACATGCATGTATTTTCTATGAAATTGTGCTATCTCCCTGTTCAGAAAAATCTCCCTGTTCATAAGAAAAGTGAGGAATACCAAACTTGGATTCAAGAAACTATAAGCAAGAATGAAGAGCTGAAACTAACTCTCATGGGTAAAAAATGTCAAAAAAAATTATGAGCTAAATGCTAGTGTGTCATGTAATAAATAAAAAGAAAATGTTACATTCAGATTATGTTTTCCCATTATCATAACTGGTTGAATGTGAAATAAAAAGAATCAATGAGTTCACAGTTTCACTTGTGCAATATTAAAATATTTTTATATAACTAACTTTAAAACTTATTTTCTTCAATAAAGTAACTTTGCTGCTTTGGTGAAATAATACTACTATTAACAATTATGATATTTATTAATTTACTACTATGTGACAGCCACAATTGATGGTCCTTTAGGTATATTAACTAATTTAATCCTCTTATCAGCCCTATGAGGCAGATATTATTGTTAGAGTAGGTAGACAGGCAGATATAAGGGGGGCAGGATAGGGCCCCAAAAACTATCAGGAAATTTTCAGGCATTTGGTAACAGAGAGGGATTAAATCCAGAATGTAATCCCTTGACGTAACCCTCCCAGCTATTTTTTTTTTCTTTTTTTGAGACGGAGTCTTGCTCTGTCACCCAGGCTGGAGTGCAGTGGCACGATCTCGGCTCACTGCAACCTCCCCATCCCAGGTTCAAGCGGTTTTCCTATTTACTCAGGAGGCTAAGGCAGGAGAATTCTTTAAGCCCAGGGGTTTGAGGCAGCAGTGAACTATGATCACACCAGTGCGCTCCAGCCTGGGAAACAGAGTGAGATGCCATCTCTAAAAAAATAAATTATTTAAAAGGAATGAAATAATAAAATAATTTAAAAAATAGATGTGCCTACATATACACTTAAAAATCTAGAAAGGCCAGAGCAATTAAGCAAGAGAAAGAAATAAAAGGCATACAGGCTGGGTGCAGTGGCTCACACTTTTAATCCCAGCACTTTGGGAGGCCGAAACACTTGAGGTCAGGACCATCCTAGCCAACATGGTGAAACCCTGTCTCTAACAAAAAAATACAAAAATTAGCCAGGTGTGGTGGCGGGTGCCTGTAGTCTCAGCAGATAGGGAGGCAGAGGTGGGAGAATCACTTGAACCCAGGAGGCGGAGGTTGCACTGAGATCCCACCACTGCAGTCCAGCCTGGTTGACAGAGCAAGACCCTGCCTCAAAAAAAAAAAAAAAAAAAAGAAAGAAAGAAAGACAGGGAAGCCAAAATGGAAAGGAAGAAGCAAATTAGCTGTATTCACAGATGACATGATCTTATATTTAGAAAAACCTAAATACTCCACCAAAAAAATTGTTAAAACTGATAAATAAATTCAGTAAAGTTGCAGGACACAAAATCAACATACAAAAAATAGTAAATTTATATGCATCAACAGTGAACAATCTGAAAAAGAAATCAAGAAAGCAATTCCATTTATAATAACTACAAAAAATTAAAATACCTAGGAATCAATCTAACAAAAGAAGTAAAACATCTATAAAGGAAAACTACAAAACTCTGATGAAAGAAATAGAAGATGAAACACATGAAAAATGGAAAGATACTCCACGCTCATGGATTGGAAGAGTTAATATTGTTAAAATGGCAATACTACCCAAAGCAATTTACAGATTCAATACAGTCCTTATCAAAATACCAATGATATTCTTCACAGAAACAGAAAATAATCCTAAAATATCTATAGAGCTACAAAAGACCCTGAATAGCTAAAGCAATCTTCAGCAAAAAGAACAAAGCTGGAGGCATCATACCAACTTACTTCAAAATATTACAAAGCTATAGTCACCAAAACATTATGGTACTGGCATAGAAACAGACACATGGACAAGTGGAATGAAATACAGAAAGCAGTTTCATGCATATACAACCAACTCATTGTTGATAAAGACTCTGAAAACTTCCAATCAGAAAAGGACAGTTTTTTTAAATAAAGGATGCTAGGAAAACTGGGTAACTATATGCAGAAGCATACAACTAGACTCCTACCTTTCACCATACACAAACATCAAATCAAAATGTATTAAAGACTTGAATCTAAGACCTGAAACTATAAAATTACAAGAAGAAAACATTGGGAAACACTCCAGTACATTGATCTGGGCAAAGATTTCTTGTGTAAAATTTCAAAATCATAGGCAACTAAAGCAAAAATAGACAAATAGGATTATGTCCAAATAAAAAGCTCCTTCATAGCAAAGGAAACAGCAAAGTGAATAGATAACCCACAGAAAATATTTGCAAACTATCCATCTGACAAGGGATTAGTAATTAGAATATATGAGGAGCTCAAGCAACTCAATAGTAAAAGAAATAAATAATACAATTTAAAAATGGGCAAAAGATCTGAACAGACATTTCTCAAAGGAAGACATATAAATGGTTAACAAATGTATATAAAAAAAGTTCAACATCACTAATAATCAGAGAAATGCAAACCAAAATCACAATGTGGTATAATCTCACCCCAGTTAAAATGGCTTGTATCAAAACGACAAACAATAACTGCTGCTAGTGAAGATGCAGAGAAAGGTGGACCTCCATACACTGTTGGTGGGAATGTAAGTTAGTACAGCCACTATGAAGAACAGTATGGAGGTTCCTCAAAAAGCTAAAAAGAGAACTTGCATTTGATCCAGCAATTTCACTACTGGATGTATATCCAAAAGAAAAGAAGTCAATATGTCAAAAAATATCTGCACTCTCATGTCTGTTGTAGCACTATTCACAACAGCCAAAATGTGAAATCAACCTAAGTATCTATCAATGAATAGATGGATAAAGTGTGGCATATATATACAATGGAATATTATTCGGCCATAAAAAAGAATGAAATCTTGTCATTTGCAGCAAAAAGGATGAAACAGGAGGCCATTTTCTTACGTGAATAATCCAAGGACAGACAGACAAACATTGCACGTTCTCACTCATATATGAGAGCTAAAAAGTAATGGATCTCATTAAGATTGGTAGGCGGAGGGATATAGGGGGGAAAAAGAATATAAATGTATTTATTTCCACTGAACTGTACACTTAAAAATACTAAGGATGGCAAAGTTTATATGCATATTTTACTTCAAAAAAAATTTTTTTAAAAAGTCTTGAAACAAACCCACCTTATATAATTTTCTCACATGTTTACAAAGTGGGGCAATATTTTTAACAGAAATACCTAATAAAATTTCTTGATATATAAGTATTGCTGATTTGCCTTTCTAAACTATAAATTGCTTGAGAAAAAGGACCTGCACAATCTGTCTTTGAAAAAATACCTCTTGAGGGCATAAATTAGTTAATATATGTCAGGAAATTGATATAGGCAAATATTGAAATATTTTAAAAGGTTTCTCTGGCTGAAGAGTTTTGTTTTTATTTCAACTGCAAACTATTGGCAAATGCAGTTATTTTTACCTAAGATTGGGTATATGATTCTTCAGTGATAGGCACATGAAAATTTTTTTAATGATGCAAGCAACATTTAACAGTGTCTTAAAAATGACTGTGGATTTGGGCTTTGATGGCTCCTTGTTTTATTATTTTTCTAAGCTAGATTTCTTACCATTAAATATGTGCATTGAACCCAAGTGTCATGAATGGGCATGCCATCTTAGGAAAGCAAATAAATTTCATAAGCTGAACATTTTAAATGTTTTCTTAATTTCATTATTGAGTGCTTTGAGATCAAGTATAAGAAGCAAGTTATAAAAGTCGTGCCAATCATAATTCTTTGGTGGTGAGTCATCTTCTCATCTATTTCATCAATCATTCTTCTTTGTTGTGTTTTGAGGTTAGCTTCTTATCCTTGCAAATTCAAACCCACTTATTGCCCTGATAATAAATTGTATTAATGATGATACCACCTCTGCCATGTAACTTTGGGCAAAAGACTCAATCTCTTTCCATGTCATTGTTTGCCACCCATATGAGTGCAATTTTAATATTTTAATTAAATCTGAAACTGTTGATCTAGTCACAGGGTTTTAGTCAATGTAACAACATAGAAAGAGGCCAGCAGATAATTTTCTTTAAATTAGAGTCATTTATTTTGCAAAAAATGTATTGTCACTCACCAAAAGGAAATATTTACAACTGGCTCAACTATTTTCATTATCAACCCAAAGGTATAAAAAGTACTTACCCATAGGGAATTTAAAGTACTAAAATTTGATCACAAACCCTGCTCTCTGGTGTTAAGAAAGTAAATAGGAAGGAGTGACATCAGCAAGATGGCCAGCTGGAATTACTTGGTGCTTGTCCCTCCAAAAAAAAAGGCACCAAAACAATAAATAAACTAATATATTCCAAGTGGATTGACTGAAGAAGTAAGCTGGAGAGCACCCAGGTAGTGGTGAAATTCTTATGCAGCACAGAAACTCAGCACAGCATCATAGAGAGGTGAGCAAATCACCTACATCTGCTACATTGTCTTCCCCACCAGAATTGGTTCAGACCCAGAAGGAACTTCTTACGAGGAAAAAGATAGCTGGAAACCTGTAGCAGTCCCCATTACCACCACAAACACCTGCAGTCCTTGCTGCAGAATACTCCTACAAGCCCCACATCCAGTTTTGAGAGTCACCTGAAGAACACACAACTACATTGCAAAGTAGGAGCCTACATTGTTTACTACTCCCCTGTGTCCTAGGCTGCTACAGCACAGCACCACCCTGACTCCAGACCCACTACTAGAGTGCTTCCTGCCCTGGGGGTCAGTAGCCACTGCCTGTCTCCATCCTTTAGGCTCTGCCATTATTCTACCATATTCACATGAGTGGCTACATTACCATGACCCTGGCTCCCTAGACTGTAGGCCCAGCAAAGCAGCTGAGACCCCAGTGTTTGAAATCATGCAGCATTCAATTACCCTGAGAATAAGCCAAACTTCACAGAGAGGAAGCTAACACAGAGCCAGCTGGCCTGCTGCACTTGTGCATGCCTGCATCTGGCTCTATAGCCAGTACAGCAGTGGTCCTACCACCTGGAGAGCCTGCCACACAGCCAGCCAGACCACTGTACCTGTACTGGCACATGCTTAACCCAATAGCCAGTATGCAGGTGGCCCTGCCCCCCTATACAGCCACTGCACCATCCTGCTGGTCTGCTATGCCCATGTGCACATGGCCTTACAGACAGGATAGTGGTAGCCTTGCTTCCTGGACAGCATGTAGCACAGCTGGCCAGCCTTCCACTCCCACATGCACCTAGTCTGATAGCCAGCCCAGTGACACCATCCCCAGAAAAACTGCACCACTGCTGTCACAAACTTCACAGCCTAGGCCACCAAAGCAGTGGGAAACATCACTGATGAAAATTACAACTGAAGAAACTGCACAAACACCTTGCTTCTGAGTCCACTGAGAACCAAAGCCAATATACTATACCCAACTGACACCCTAGGACCCATCTACAGAAAAATGTCTCTCCCTATGAAACACTGCTTTATAAAATTGAAAAAGGTGACTGTTTCATTACATGTGCAGATACCAATGTAAGGACACAGGAAACATGAAAAAGCAAGAAGAAATATGACACCCCCAAAGGGGCACAGTAATTCTCCAGTAACAGACCCAAAAGGAAAGGAAATGTATGAAGTGCCAGAAAAGAAATTCAAAATGATGATCTTAAGGAAATTCAGTGAGCTATAAGAGAACACAGACAAATAATCTAACATAATCAGGAAAACAATTGATGATCTAGATTAGAAATTTAACAAAGAAATAGATATCATAAAAGAGAGCCAAACTGAAATCTTGGAGCTAAGTAGTTCAATGGATAAATTTAAAAATACAATTGAGAACTTCAACAACAAACTATATCAAGCAAAAGAAAGAGTTCCTGAACTTGAAGACAGATCTTTTGAAATGATCCAGTCAGAAGGGGTAAAAAGAAATAAGAATAAAAAAGGGAAAAAAGAAATAAGAAGTAAAAATAATAAAAAGAATAAAAAAGAGAATATGGGATATCATTAAGCAAGCAAATATTCACATTACTGAAATGTTAGAGAGAGAAGAGATGGAGAACTTCACAGAAGAACTATTTAATAAAATAATAGCTGAAAACTTTCCAAGTCTTGGAAGAAATATACACATCCAGATTCAGGAAGCTCAAAGCTTCCCCATTCAACCCCAAAATGTCTTTTTGTGTGTGTGGCACATTACACCTAAACTGTCAAAACAGAATTTTTAAATGATCAAGAGAAAAACTTCAATTTACATATAAAGAAATTCCAATAGACCAAATAGTCCTAGCAGTCATTTACAGAACACTCTATTTTACAGCTACAGAATCACATTCTTCTCAACTGCACTTGGGACATTTTCCAGAATAGATCATGTTAGGATACAAAACAAGTCTTAACAAATCTAAGAGAGAGAGCATATAAAGTATATATTCTAACCATAATGGTATAAAATTAGAAATAAAAAACAAATCAAAAATTTACAAATACATGGAAATTAAACAACATGCTCCCAAATAACCATTGGGTCAATGAAGAAATTAAAAGGTAAATTTATTGAGTCAAATGAGAATAGAAACATCATGCCAAAACCTAAGGGACACAACAAAAAACAGTTGTGAGAGGGAAGTGAATAGCAATATCCTCCTATATCACAAAAGAAGAAAGATTTCTAATAAACAATCTGACAAGGAAAGTGAAAAACAATAATAAACTAAATCCAAGATTGATATAAGGAGAAAATAAAATAATAAGGCCCAGAGAAGAAATAAATAAAATAGAGATTGCAAAAACAATTCAAAAGATCAATGAGTGAAAAGCTGCTTTCTTGGAAAGAAAAACAAATCTAACAAACCATTATCTATAAAAATTTTAAAAAATGAAAAAAGACTCAAAATCAGAAATGAAAAAGGAGACATACAACTGACACAACAGAAATACAAAAAATAGGACTATTATAGACAACTACATAGCAACAGATTTGTTAACCTAGAAAAAAATAAATTATAAAGAAATAGAAAATCTGAACAAATTATGAGTGAGGAAGTTGAATCAGTAATAATAATCTTCCATTGGAGAAAAGCCTAGGACCTGATGGCTTTACAGATGAATTTGAAGAAGAACTATTGCCAATTTTTCTCAATCTGTTTCAGAAAATTAAAGAGGCAGGAACACTTCCAAATTCACTTTATAAATACAGCATTACTCTAATACAAAAACCAGATCAGGATACACACAAATAATAAAATTGCATACCAATACCCCTGATGAACATAGATGCAAAAATTCACAATGAAATACTAGCAAACCAAATTCAACAGCACAATAAGATTATTCACAGTTCTCAAAAGAAGACATTTATGAAGCCAACAGACACATGAAAAAATACTCATCACTGGCCGTCAGAGAAATGCAAATCAAAACCACAATGAGAATTCTAACACCAGTTAGAATGGCAATCATTAAAAAGTCAGGAAACAACAGGTGCTGGAGAGGATGTGGAGAAATAGGAACACTTTTACACTATTGGTGGGACTGTAAACTAGTTCAACCACTGTGGAAGACAGTGTGGTGATTCCTCAAGGATCTAGAACTAGAGACACTTTTTGACCCAGCCATCCCATTACTGGGTATATACCCAAAGGATTATAAATCATGCTGCTATAAAGACACATGCACACGTATGTTTATTGCGGCACTATTCACAATAGCAAAGACTTGGAACCAACCCAAATGTCCATCAATGATAGACTGGATTAAGAAATTGTGGCACATATACACCATGGAATATTATGCAGCCATAAAAAAGGATTAGTTCATTTCCTTTGTAGGGATGTGGATGAAGCTGGAAATTATCATTCTGAGCAAACTATCACAAGGACAGAAAACCAAACACCATATGTTCTCATTCATAGGTGGGAATTGAACAATGAGAACACTTGGACACAGGAAGGGGAACATCACACACCGGGCCTGTCATGGGGTGGGGGGAGGGGGGAAGGATAGCATTAGGAGATATACCTAATGTAAATGACGAATTAATGGGTGCAGCACACCAACATGGCACATGTATACATATGTAACAAACCTGCACATTGTGCACATGTACCCTAGAACTTAAAGTATAATACTGAAAAAAGTCTATTCACTACGATTAAGTGTGATTAATCCAAGGCATGCAAGGATGGTTCAACATAATGCAAATCAATAAATGTGATATAACTCATTAACAGAAAGAAAGCTTAAAACCATATTTTTATTTCAATAGATGCATAAAAAGCATTTATTAAAATTCAAAAATCCTTCACGATAAAAACGCTCAACAAATTAAATATAGAAGGTTTGTACCTCAACACTGTAAAGGCTACAAATAACAAATCCACAGGTAACATATGAGTAGGCAAAGGCTAAAAAGTTCTTCCTCTACAATCAGAAAGAAAACAAGGGTCCTCCCTTGTACCACTTCTGTTCAACATAGTACTAGAAGTCCTAGCCAGAGCAATTAAGCAAGAGGAAAAAATAAAAGGCATCCAAATAGAAAAGGAGAAAGTCAAGGTGTTGTTGTCTGCAGATGACATGATACTACATACAGAAAACCTTAAAGACTATACCAAATAACTATTAAAACTAATAAACAGATTCAATAAAGTTCCAGGATATATAATCAACACAAAATTACAAATATTTCTGTATGTTAATAGTAAACTATCTGAAAAAGAAATTAAAAATCTATAATAGCTACAAAAAAGATACCCAGGAATAAACCAGGAGATAAAAAATCTGTCCCCTGAAAACTACAAAACACTGATGAAAGAAATTGAAGAGGACACACACACAAATGGAAAGATAAACTGTTTATGAATTGAAAAAAAAATATTGTTAAAATGTCTATGCTACCCAAAGTGATCTATAGATTGAATGTATCCCTGTCAAAATACCTATGACATTCTTCACAGAAATAGAAAATCTTCTAAAATCCATATGGAAATCCAAAAGGCCCCCAATAGCCAAAGCAATCTTGAGCAAAAGGAACAAATCTGGAGGCATCTCACTATCTTATTTCAAAATATTTTACAAAGCTATAGTAACCAAAACAGCATGGTAGTGGCATAAAAATAGATGCATAGGCCAAAGGAACAGAATAGAAAACCATAAATTCATGCAGCTACAGCCAACTGATTTTTTACAAAGGTACAAAAACACAAATTGGAGAAAAGATAGTTGTTTCAATAAACAGTGCTATGAAAATTGGATATAACATGCAGAAAAATAAGACTAGACCTCTACCTCTCACCATATATAAAAATTAACTCAAAATGGGTTAAAGACTTAAATGTAAAACCCAAAACTATTAAACTATTACACGATAACAAAGGGGAAACACTTCACAACATTGAGCTGAGAAAGAATTTTTAAAATAAGGCCTGAAAGCGACAAGCAACAAAAGCAAATTAGACAAGTGGGACTACATCAAGTTAAAAAGAGTTTGCATAGCAACAGAAACAATCAGCAGGGTAAGGAGACAACCTACAGTGTGGGAGAAAATATTTACAAGCTATACACCTGACAAAGAATTAATATACAGAATATGTAAGGAACTCAAACATCTCAACATCAAGAAAACAATTAGATTGAAAATGGGCAAAAGACCCAAATAGACATTTCTCAAAACATGATATATAAATGGCTTAGAGGTATAGGAAAAAATGCTCAACATCACTAATCATCAACGAAATGCAAACCAATACCACAATGATATACCACCTTAATCCAGTTAGAATGGCTATTATGAAAAAGACAAAAGAAAATAAGTATTGGTGGGATTGTAGAGAAGAGGGAAGACTTAGATACTGTTGGTGGTAAGGTATATTAGTACATCCATATGGCAAACTCTATGGAGGTTCTTCAAAAATTAACAACAGTACTATCATATGATCTAGTAATCCCAATACTGGGTGTATGTCCAAAAAAGTAAAATCAGTATGTCAAACAGATATCTGTACTCCCATGTTTATTATAGCACATTCACAATAGCCAAGACATAGAATCAACCTAAGTGGTCATTAGTGGATGAATACATAAAGAAAATATTGCACACACACACACACACACACAGAGAGAGAGAGAGAGAGAGAGAGAGAGAGACAGAGAGAGAGAGGAATACTGTTCAGCCATAAAAAGAATAAATTCTGTCATTTGCAACAACATAGATGAAACTGGAGGACATCCATGTTGAGTGAAATAAGGCAGATAAAGGAAAATGCCACATGATCTCACTCATGTGGAATTTAGAAAAAATTTATCTCTAAAGACTAGTTATCAGAGACTGAGCAGATAGGAAAGGAGAAAATGGAAAGAGGTTGGTCAATGGGTACAAGGTTACAATTAGGAAGAATAGGTTCTGGTGTTCTATTGCACAGTAGGGTAACTATGGTCAACAATAAGGTATTGTATATTACAAAATAGCTAGAATAGAGGCTTTTGAATGTTCTCACCACAAATAAATAAAAAGTGTGTAAGGTAATAGATAAATGTGCTAACTACCCTGATTTGATTATTAGATAACATATACAGATATCAAAGTTTCAGATTGTACCCCATAAATATGTACAATTACAATGTGTCAATTTAGAAATTAAAAAAATTAAAGAAAGCAAATGAGGAAATAGAAATATATGTTCAATTCCTTTTGTGCCCAGAGGCTTTGTTAAAGGTTCTTCAAAAAATGTTCACTTCTTCTAGCTTCAATTGCTCCAGAGGATTTCTCTAACATCCATCCCATTTGGCAGAACCAAAATTAGACTTTTTGTTTTGGACACAATGCCTGCTCTCCTTTATATTCATAGACTTAAAAGTTTCAGAGTTTATCCTTCCTAAAACTACTGAGTCTAGGACATGAATTTTGATTCATTTGTCCCATGCCTGCAGTTAAGGGCCAACCTTATAGTCTTTGGTATGTGGCTTCAATGATACTGAGATGGGCACCCACACATGCACACACACACACACACACACACACACACACACACACACACACACTTCTAATTTAAACTCGGGAAAATCTATAATAACAATGATAAATGGCAGTAATGTTCTCTAATTTCCTCTCACCTCACCATCCCCTATTCCACTACTGGGGAAACCACGGAGTAAGTGGATCCAAAGTGTTGATTCTATTTAAACCAAGTACGTTTCTTTCTATGATCACAAGGTGAGAGACCAGAAGGTGAAAATCAAAAAGATACTTGAAAGAGGATACTGAGTCAAGCCAGAAGAGGTTGTTATTGTCTAAAATGGATCATCAAGCAAAAGGCAGACTGCAAATACTAACAGCTATAAAGGCAGACTAGTTAAGGAGCCATCTTACCTTTCTCTCTTTCTATTCTTATCCCTTCCTATCCAAACTCTGCACCTCCGCCTGAGTGAGCTATTTAAAATACAAATCTAAATAACTAGTTCTTATCTTTAAAACTCTTTAAAAATGCCTTATTCTTGGTCCTAGAATAAAGTCCAAAATCATTAGATGATTTGACCCATTAATTGGTCTTACCGCCCTCATTCTCTTGTCTTCAAGTCCTAAGGAAAACTTCAGATGACATCGCAACCCTGCTAAAATATCTTCAGTGGTTTCCTATCACTTGTAGAATTTGAATTTCAACTTCCATGCTTTACCTCAGCTCAAATTTATTCCCTGTTATTTCCTTTTATATTCTTTACTTTGACGACTCACATTCTTCTGCTTCCTTGTTCTTTTTTTTTAATAGTCTCACTCATCCCAGCCTCTGCATGTCTAATTCCTTTCCAGTAGAACTTAAATCCCATCTCCTCCATGTCTCTTTTGTCTCTTAATTCCTCTTATCAAGAAATAATCTTTTCACCATCTGCGTTATTATAATATTTTACCATGGCACGTTACCACTTGACTCTTTGGGTTGTAGATAGGAATGTCTCTGTCTCATTTCACCTTCTTTCCTGAGCACTCCTTTAGATGCAAACAAGGAGCTGCATCTGGTTTATGACTTGTTTCAAAGCACCTAGCACAGTATCAGGATTCTTAGCTGGCACTTGCTCAACAAATATTTATGCAATAAATGACTGTCTACAACCATCAGAAATAAATCACTTCAAGAATCTACAAAACCAAACTACTACTGACTTCTTTTGTCTACTGTTGGCTAAGTGGAAAGTGCCAAATAGTCCTAGAATAAACGAATTACGTTTTTAAAGATGAAGAAGCACAAAGCAAAGAAAACAAGAGGGAGATGATCACATCATGGCCTGATTGTTTTGCCCAGAAGGCTTCAAGGTCTTTAATTAAACGGTTTAACCATGGGAGGCAAAGGATGGAATGTGTTCCTAATTAATGCTTTAAACTCATTATGATTCCAAGCCAGAAAATATAATAACTACGTAAGAATTTGAAAATTATTTCCACCAAGATCATGGCAGGTTTTTTGGGTTTTGGTTTGTTTTTGATAAATCTCAATCACTGAGCTTCAAAGAAGTCTGTGCCATTAGCTGAGCTGATACCATAAACCAAATGGGCAGGAGTTGAAGATGGCAGTTTGATTTAGACATAGTTAGATGAACTATAGCACCACCCTAAAATCTCTTCTTTTCCCTATCTTAATATTTCATAAAAATGTTGCACAGTGCAGTAGGGATATTTTCAGTGATTAGGTTCTAAATACATTTATAGGGGACAGATTGCTTAAGTCAAAATTAACTATTAAAGTTCATTAAACTTTTATGATTAGAATAAACATGGTTTGAATATAATTCTATTTCTCGAGAAGTTCAGCAAATTATTTTTCCCTGGAGTAGGGATAGATTATTGGTTTTTATTGGTTGAGCATCAGAGGAAGTAATTTGCTTATGGCTAAAGGGCTTTGCTTTGTGAAAACCATTTTCTTTTTTTCCCTCAATTGATAAAGTTGAATTTATAAGGTTAAATATACATTAAATGAATTATGACTATGCTATATTTAATTCACTTGATCCCAATTCACATGCTGTTAGTAATTTCAGTACTCTTCCACATAATGATACTCAACAAATATTTTTTGAGTGGATATTGTATGAAAGCACTAGTTTGAACTCTACAGGGAACATAAAGATAATCAGTGTATTATCCCTGAGCTAAGGTTTTTACAACTTTTAGGAGAGCTGTGGTAGCTTTGTTTCAAGGTAGTCCTCAATGAGTCTTACCTGCTGGTATTCCCAACTGTGTATAGTCCCTTTCTATACTGAATCAGGGCTGACCAATAGAACATTGTAGAAATTATGATATGTGACATTCTAGGCTAATTCAAAAAGCCATCTCAGCTTCTGCATTGGTCTGTTAGATCACTCACTCTAGGGGAAGCCAGCTGCCTATCAAGAACCATGAAATATCTGAGATTTTATCTTACTTGCAAACATACAAGTTACCTTGCCACAGTTTTGTGGATGGTAACAGAAGAAACAAGACCCCTGAGTCAAAGTCAAAGGACAGCTGATTACTCAAAACAGTGAAAGTAACCAAAGTTTAAGCATGTTCAGTTACTTCAGCCCCAATTTCCACAGACCAATGCAAAGTGGAACAAGGGATGCTTATACATGTACTGGGTTGTATTAAAGAAGATACACACCCAAATTTAGGGAACTCAATTTTTTATAATCGGCTGTAAACTTGTCTGACCTTTAGCGTAAGGAGATAGTATCTCTATTAAAGAGGATAAAAATGAAAAATCCCTGCCCTTTGCTCTAGAGGGGTACTATCTTCATTAATCAAGGCAGTTTGCTATGCAAACATCTTTGAAAAGAGAATTCAGAACAAGGGAAATTTTAAGTTCCCCTGCTCACAAGATGTGAGAGATGTGTGGAGAGTCATCTCCTAACACTATAAAGCCATGAGATGCTAAAGCATCCCTGGAGAAGGATCTATGTGGTAATGAACTGAGGCCTGCTTCCAGCAACCAGCATCAGCCACCAGCCAGGTGACCACATCACTTTGAAAGTGAATCCTCCAGCCCCAGTAACCTTCAGATGGTTGCTTTCTTAGCTGAAATCTAACTGCAATCTTATGAAGGACCTCTAGCTGGAGACAGCTAAGAAGCTATTCTCAAACTGCTAATCCACAAAGAGTATGAGGGATAATGTCGTTGTTTTCTACCACTAAGTTATTAGGTGATTTGTTACACAATAATGAACAACCCATACAAATTTTTGTACTTGGAAGCGGGGTGCTATTGCAGCCAAAGTTTCAAAATATATTAGTGGCTTTGGGGATGACGTAGTAGAAAGAAGCTTGGGAGGCCTATGGAGAGTGTTATCTAAAGCACTGGAAGCCTTGAAGAGATTTTTAGGAAAACTCTCAAAGCCTCATCAAGATCTTTGAGGAGGCTGCTGGGAGGTCTTTAAAAGCGGTGAAGGAATGGTATTGGATCCTGGAAACAAGGCATCTTTGTTACATAGTGGCAGAAACTTAGCAACACTGTTGCCTGCACTAACATGGAAAGTGGAAAATGTACCTAATGAATCCGATGATCTAGCTAGAGTTTTTCAAGTCCAGTGTTGAATATCCCATCTGGCTTCTTTGTGTTACTTGCAGTAAAATGAGATAGACAGCCCTCTTGAGGATTCTTGAATACAATGTTTTAGAGGCAACATACATCCAGTACATACTTTGCAATTCATGCCTATTGCATTTTCGGAAGGTAAATCACATTTTTAAATATAAAACTGAGTTATCTATTTAAACATTATGATCAAACACCATCTTTTAAGAAAAACTAAGCTAGTAATAGAGAAAGGGAAAGTAAGTTTCAGCTGGCTTTTATTAAGTGGCTTTGAAGGTAAACGTCAAAGAATAATATGATTGGGAATAATATTTTCAGTATTAGCTTCCTGGAGGGTCAAATTACCCTATCCCATAGAACTAAAGGTCATTTACTATGAGCCAAAGTAAAATGAGGGAAGTTACCAGGAAAATGGGTGTTGAGGAGTCACTAGGATACAAGAGAAATATGAGGTATTAAAATAGAACCCTATTCTTAGAGAAACAGTATTAAAACATCTTTTCATGGGCAAGTACTTTCCTACCTTAAATAATTATTCTGTCTTTGAAAAATTCTAAACAACAAGAAAACACTTGGTCCAAAGATTCAATAAGCTTTTAAGTTGCCAACTTTAATTTGGCAGGGATACTAAGCTGGTCTGTGAAAGCTGAACACATTGGACAGATTCAAATGATGAATTATTTAGAGGCCCATGCAAAAAAGTTTCTGAACCCTTTCTTAATCACCTCCTACTATAGTCAACAATTATTAACCTTTCAAAATCTGTTAAACATGCTTTCCTTTAAATTTTATAATTTCATTTCTAACAAATAAAATCAAAACAGTCATAGGGTGACTCCAGTTCAGGACATAAAAATTATATTTCGAATATTTTACTTAATGAACACTTCTAAAAATTTCCCTCCCCCCCAAAAAAAAACTACAATAGCAGTTCTCTTCTTTCTTTTGATTTTGTAAGAATATTTGTCTTTGGAAAGATAATGTCAACTTCTAGCAGAAACTCATCAAAATGATAAAACACTGGGGGAAGGGTTTTATTTCTTTCTTAGAAATTGAGTTTCTCACTCCACTCAAAAGAGAGCAGAATATTCTTTTCACTGTACATTTATTGAAAGTGAGTAGTCAGGTGTTCCTGGACACATCAGAAGCACTGCCTCTATTTCCTAAGAAAATGTAGTTTGAAATTCAGTCTGGTGTTCTCAACCCAAATACAGGTACCTCCCTCTTTGAATTCTAGATGCCAGAGGCACTAATATGGAATGAAGACAAGCATATCCCCAGAATCTGCCTGAAATGTGCCATAACAGAATGTGCACACAGTTTGGGGGGCTAAGAAAACTGAGTCTTGACCAAGTTTTGCCCACAACTTCCTGTGCAGTCACTTGATACCTTTAAGCCTAAGCTTCCTCATCAATGAAGTAATATCCAGGCATACCTTGGAGATATTGTGAGTTCATTCCAGAACACTGCATAAGAGCAAATACAGCAATAAGTCAAGTTACACAAATGTTTTGTTTTCCCAGTGCACATAAAACTTATGTTTATACTATACTGTAGTCTATTAAGTATGCAATAGCATTATGTCTAAAAGTAATATATGTACCTTAATTAAAAAATACTTTATTGCTAAAAATTCCTAACAATCATCTGAGCCTTCAGTGAATTGTAATATTTTTGCTGGTGGAGGATCTTGCCTTGATGTTGATGACTGCTGATTGATCAGAGTAGTGATTATGAAAGGCTGATGTAGCAGTGGCAATTTCTTAAAACAAGACACAATGAATTTGCTGCGTTGATTGACTCTTCCTTTCATGAAAGGTTTTTCTGTAGGATGCTGTTTGACAGAATTTTATCAACAGCAGAACTTCTTTCAAAATTGGAGTCAATCCTTTCAAACCCCATCATTGCTTCATCAACTAATTTTAAACAGTATTCGAAATCCTTGGTTGTCATTTCAACAATGTTAACAGCATATTTATCAGGGGTAGTTTCCATCTCAGGAAATAATATTCTTTATCCATAAGAAACAACTCCTCATCGATTAAAATGTTTTTATGAGATTGCAGCAATTCAGTTACATATTCAGGCTTCACTTCTAATTCTACTTCTCTTGCTATTTCTACTACATTTGCAGTTACTTCCTCCACTGAAGTCTGGAGCTCTTCAAAGCCATCCATGAAGGTTGGAATCAAATTCTTCCAAACTTGTTAATGTTGACATTATAACCTCCTCCAATGAATCATGAATTTTCTTAATGGCACCTAGAATGGTAAATCCTTTCCAGAGGTTTTAAATTTACTTTGCCCAGATCCATCAGATGAATTACTATCTATGGCAGCTATGGTCTTTAAAAATGCATTTCTTAAATAATAAGACTTGAAAGTCAAAATTACTCCTTGTTCCATGGGTTGCAGAATTAATGTGTGTTAGCAGGCTTGAAAGCAACATTAATCATGTACATCTGCATCAGAGCTATTGGGTGACCAGGTACACTGTCAATGAGCAGTAGTATTTTTAAAGAAATCTTTCTTTCTGAGAGTTCTTTCCTTAAAGCTCATGAATCAACCTCTCCTAGCTTCAGAGATTTTCCTTTCTCACCTACATCAGACTTTATAGAATTGAAAAGAGTTAGGACCTTGGTCTAGATCAGGCTTTGGCTTAGGAGAATGTTGTGGCTGCTTTGGTCTTCTATCCAGACCACTCAAATTTTCTCCGTATCAGCAGTAAGGCTGTTTTGCTTTAACATTGATGTATTCACTGAAGTAGCACTTTAAATTTCCTTCAATAAATTTTTCCTTGCATTGACAACTCGATTAACTGGTACAAGAGGCCTAGCTTTTAGCCTATCTCAACTTTCAAACATATCCTCCTCGCTAAGCTTAATCATTTATAGGTTTTGATTTAAAGCAGGATATGTGCAACTCTTCCTTTCTCTTGAATACTTAGAGGCCATTCTAGGCTTATTAATTGGACTAATTTCAATATTTTTGTGTCTCAGGGAATAGGGAGGCCTGAAGAGAGAGAGAGAGAGAGAGATGGGGAACAGCTGGCTAGTGGAGAGCGGTCAGAACACATACACCATTTATCGATTATGCTTGTTATCTTCTATGGGCACAGTTCCTGATGCCCCAAAACAATTCCAATAGTAATATCAAAGATACATCACAGATATAAAAGTAATGAAAAAGTTGGAAATATTGTGAAAATTACCAAAATATAACAGAGACATGAAATGAGCACATGCTGTTGGAAAAATGGTGCTGATAAACTTGCTTCACCCAGGGTTGTCACAATATTAATTTGTAAAAAAAAAAAAAAAAAAAAATTGCAATTATCTGTGAAACGCAATAAAACAAGGTATGCCTATGGTTGTATTATGAAGTAAGTTTCCTTCCAACTCAACTAGTCTGTGATTCTGAAAGTCCCTACTTTTCAGATGACTATAACCTGATATAAAATAATGAAGTCCAGCTTTACTGAGCAGCATCATCTGCAGGTGTTTTTTTTGCTCATTATATATTTTTCCCTGAGGTTAATGCTCAACTATCATGAAAGCTAAACCCCTTTGCAAATCAGTCACCATAATTTAATGACAATGTCTGAGACCTATGAAAACTCTAAGACCTTACTATTGTTGGTCATGGTTATGTTACTCTACATGTGATGAATTATTTAACAACTTTGTCACTAAAATATAAGCTTATATAACTTTTTATAGAGGTAATCTTCATGAAAGGTGATTTCTGTCACTGGACGTATGCTCTTTTACCAAATACCCTCCTTTGATTAATTGCTTCAATCACAAGTCATGATTGAGTTGTCATGACAAACAGTATCTGTTCCACATTCAGGAAAACATTGATTTGAATAAAAAATATGATTTGTATTTGTATCAGATGGTTTTCTTCTCCAAAGAAAGAGCAAAGAACAAGTGAGACATGAGGTTGGCTTCTGGCTTTTTACTAAACCCATACACATTCACTCAGTAGATGATGTCACAGCACAGGTTGTTCACAGTAAATTTTTACAATACTCTAGAATAAAATGAGGTTTTAGTTTCCAACTTGGAAGTGCATACAGCATATTATGGGGGGGCAAAATTACTGTATATGAATATGAGAGGATTTTGATATTGAAGAAGATTTTCTATTCTTAAAAAGACAAATTTCTTATCAAAATACCAGATTAGCAATCTTTTCTAAAAGTCAGAACACTGCAGATATTTGTGTTGGTTTGTTGGCTATTTAAATAAGTGTGTGTGTGTGTGTGTGTGCGCGTGCATGCACTTGTGTTTCTCCAAAAGAAAACAAACTGAGCAAATTTTCTGAAGTGGCATATTTGAATGGTTGTTCACCCATACTACTTTTAGGTCTTCTGTTTTTTATTCCTAACTTACAGAAGAATCAAACTTTTAAAAACCCTCCCAAGTAAATAAAATTGCTATGAAATCTAAAACATCTGAACAGGAACCAAACATGTAGGTAAATTCATCTTAAATCATTTGATTCACAGGTGTTCCTTCTCTGACAAGATGAGACAAGTCAAACAGCATCCAGCAGCATTCCTCTGTTTTCCCTTTTGTTGTTTGCCAGTTAATTTCTATTCACTGGAAATGCCAATTTTCCACATGCTATTCAATGTGGTGTGCTTGTTTGAAAAGAAGCAAAGAAAAAGCACTAAAGATGCTAAGGACTTAACTCATTCCTCCCTTCTCTCCTCTCCTCCTCCCTAACAAGTTCCCTTTCTTCCAGGCTTAGTGAGAAACAAAAGCAGACTCATTCAACCTCAAAACTTGAACACATGCCAGGTGAAATATTTTAGTGAGGCTTATCCTCAACTTGGTCATACTGTATAGGTGGGCCTAGTTAAGTGGTTTTTGTTGGCTACTCTGCTTTGCGTCACACCCTCTGTGTCAAAGTGGAGCTCAGCAAAGTATATATATAATTACATATATATATATCTGTATTTTATATATACACATACATATATCATTTTAGAAATTGAGGAAACATTTCAGTAAAAATTTTATCTACAATGAACTAATTTGATCTTTACTATATATAGTATATACACACAGCAGCTTATATATATCCTTATTATTTTTCCCTAATTAAGTAAGCTGGAAAAAAAAGTGCTGGTTCACTTGCTCTAGGACAGGTTTGAAAGTCAGATAGAAAACAGGAGTATAAAATAAAACTTTCAGCTTGAATTATTTTGCCTGTATCAACAAGTCTCTCGGCCTCTGGAAGAACATGGCAAAGTTATGCAAATAGCAGAATCTAAGCAATTCTTACGTAAGGTTCATCTCCAGAGTCACTTACACAGCAGAGTATTCCTTGCTCAGAGTTGGCACCAATTAGGAGCAGTTATCAGTATACAATACATAAATACACCTTAGCATGTTTGCTAATAAAAAGAGCCTAAAGAAAACTGTGGAATGCAAACTTTCTTGTAGATTGTGGGTGATTCGCAGCAAAGGAAATCCAAATATTTTGGGATATAAACATGTTCCACATGTTCCTTGTGTGTTAGGTTAATGGGGATGACTAAAGATTGGTTATTACTATTATATACTTGGTAATATTTTAGGAGTAGATATCAGCTTCAAGATCAGCTAGTTCAATCCTTTCATTTTACAGATGAAAAAATCTGAGGCCAGTAAGTGATTCATCAAATATCACTTGGATAGTTAACAGCAAGGGGGGAATTTTAATGTGGTTTTCCTGACAGCCAATTCAACTCACCAAACTCCTGGTTCTACTTTTCATACGGAAGAAATGTTTCCTACTGATGCAAGAGGTGTAATGATATACCACAGTCCCTACCTTTAAAGAAAGAATAATAAAGAAATAAGACAAATTTTATGAAAGCAAATGAAGATATAAATTTCCATGGGGTTCAAAGGATGGAGAGGAGAATTTTTCCACATTTTCTCACTACTCTAAATCGTAATGATTCTTTTTTCACAAATATGATAGAGGAGACACCTGAAAAGGACCTCAGAAAAAAATCCATCAACTTCATCAGGTGTTGGGAGAAAAGCTGAGTGTTGGGAAAAGCTGAGTCAGGGCTTGCATGTCTGACATAATGTAAAAGAGTCTTGGAACATGTCCGGGGTCCAGGGTCTAAAACCCCTGTGGCCTTTGGAACACCAAGCTCTGTGCTAAAGGGTGGAAGGCTACCCTGACGCACCATAATCTAAGCCCAGGGCATAAAACCCCTCATGGCTTGGATTGAATCCAGGGCTCGTGGCCTCTGGAATGTGTCTAGACTTGCTGGCTCCTTGCTCCTTGCTCCCCCAGGATCCATTGTATCTTGAGTTAAAAGAACCTGCTCTCCATTATCTCAAGGAGCGAGCAGATGCTAAACCATCACAGCTGTAAATCATGTGCTTAATGCAACCCTCCCTTTCATCCCCACATTCTCACCACCTGTTTCTTTGTTTGATCACCAATAAATAGTCTAGGCTTCCAGAGCTCGGGGCCTTTGCAGCCTCCATACTTAGCGATGGCCTCCTGGACCCACTTTCTCTCTCAAACTGTCTTTTCTCATTCCTTTGACTCTGCTGGACTTCGTCATCCCCACGACCCGGTGTTGAGTCTGATCACCCAACATCATCAGGTAGCTATCCAAATTAAGGGTGACAAACTCATGCCTTAGGATGTAGGACTCTTCAGAGCATGAGGTTTACTCATTGAAGAAAGAAAGGTAAAACTGATGTTACTATGAAACAGTACTCTATTTTAATGAAATGCCTATTTTGTTAAAAACTCTAAATGATAACAATGTAAAGCAATATCTCTACTTTCAAACCACCAAAAATAATAGGAAAACATACTGTATAATGGAGCCCTTTGTTGATTCTGTATTCTATTATTATATTGGTCACTTTTGGATAAAATCTTGTGACTTGTGCCCTTAAAAATGTTTTACATACTTGAATATATAAACTTCATTAGATTTTTGTAGATTAATGTTTCCAAATTGTCACAGCATATTTAAATTAATAATTTAAAAAATTAAGTTCACATTTAATCAACTTTTTCTTACCCCTGTAAATTTAGAATTAGCAACAAATTTTATAAGCAAATTCTTAACTCTGTAATTCAAGTAATCAACAGAGATGGTGAATGAAAATCACGAATATCATTAGTGAATCCCACATTATTTCATATTGATAGTTCATCTTTAGACAGGACATTTGATTTAATCATTTATCCAAGCAAAAGGACTATGATTAAGAGCACTTTTTCTAACTGACTTTAAGAGCATGTCTTATCACTATATATTGAATATTCTTGGAAGTGTAGCCCTCCAAGCACTAGAAAGTACACAAAATGATTGAGAAAAAAAATTAATGCTACCATTAATAAATTTTTCATCTAATGAAGAGATACAATTAATGTAATATCAATGTGAGTCATCTAATGAAGAGATATAATTAATGTAATATCACTGTGAGTCATATGCGAAAGTTAACCCAAACACTGTTAGAAATGAGATTGTACCTGAGAGACTAATCAGTCCTGTCCAGATGCAGAGCAACATTAAGGAACAATCAAAGCAAAAAGAAGCCAGCTTCAAAGGGAAGGGAAAGTCTATATTAATGCAAATGAAAAATGAACTTTAATTTTGTGAATCTTTATATTCATGTTTATTAATTGGTTGCTAGAGGTACAGCCTAGACAATATTGTACATTAAATAATACTCAACACGGGGATTATCTTTTTGAGTTTAATATTCATTTTCATAAATTGTCAAGGCACTGTGATGAACTCAAACTCCTAAGAATAAACAACTTCTCATGAAGGGGGCTTAAATACATCTATCACATTTAAGATGAGAACAAGCAGATTACCCCAGAGACAATGAGAACATTGAGATGAGAACAAGCAGATTACCCCAGAGAGAATGCAGCAGTCAAAGACAAAGTGTGGAATAGGCAGAGGCAATATTGTGCAAAACACATTAGAGGAATGCATAAGTACTACAAAAACTTCTAAGAAAAGAAATATCAAAGATGCCATCCTCAAAGACTGCATGTGGGAGAAATACCTAGGCAAGAACTAAGAATCTCATAAGAAATGCCTGAAATAAAATGTGAACATCTCTGCATGGACTAATCAATACAGAATAATGTACCACTCGAGAGGATGCATATGAGACTGATACTGTTTTTGCTGTTCTGATACTGGATAAAAATTCTCACCTATTCTTTAGAAAAGGAACAGGCATTGAAATTCTGATGCCTTCAATGCATAATTAAGTTTGTTGCAAATAACGTTATAAAATCCTGTTTATGTTTCTCATTATAGAATTTGGTTGAATATTTCTCAGCACATCTCTTTAATCATTTTATTGTTATTGTTATAATATGAATAACTGAATTGGTAGATGATAATGTGTTTTAGAGATTCAGAGTCACATCCAAAATTATTTGAATAAGCGATTTACAAAAAAACTAAATATGGATAAGTACCATAAAAATGTACAATTCTCGTCAGATTCAAATAATGTAAATTAACATGAGATGTCGATTTTCACCTTACAAAATGGCAAATATGTTTTAAAATAAGAGCAAATTTGTTAAGATTATATGAACTGCTGATGAATATGTAAATGTGCACAACCATTCTGGATATTTTAAATCAAAATAATATATTTAAGGAATATAAAGTATTGTATTATTATTTCTTATTGCAATATACTATGTAGCCTGATTTATGCTGGGAGAAATATTTAAATGATTGTATATTCACTCATTTCTCCTTTCAACAAATATTTACTAAGCACCTATTACAGACTTCACGCTAGATGTGCAATGAATGAAATATGTCCTCATGCATATAATTTATATTTGAAATTAAATCTGATGAATATTGAAAGATGTTTTGTTGTATGAAGCTGTAAGAACATATTATAAACCTTATAGTGTGAACTTATATATATATATATAGCATATTTATGTATATGAGTAAAAAACAGTCTGAAAAAATATGCTTAGAATTTAATGCTGATAATGTATATCTAGTGAAACTAAGGGCATTTGAATTTGTTTTTCTTTATGTTTATTAGTATTACCTAATTTTCTGCAATAAATATGTATTTAAAAAATAAACTGTATTTTCTGGTAAGACAAGAAGCCATCCTTTATAGAGGCCTTTAAGGCTTACTGTTATCTGAGTTGGCTATAAAACATAACATCAGAGATTTATTTTGTTGAATCATATTCCTAGAATCTTCATTTAAAAGCAAGATAGTGGAAAATGAATTATTTTTACCTGTTGAGTTAGCTACACAGAATAATAATTTGAAAATATAATACTATTTAGGTTTATTTTCTTTTTACCATTACATAATACTTTCTAATGAAGTTATTTGATTCTAATAATCTTGTAATGTGTTCAGGTCACAGGTAATTATCTGTATTTTACAAGTGAGAAAAACTAAGACTTTGGAAAATTTGAGTCTTTTGCTCACAGGCCCAAAGGAAGTAAGTAGTGAGGCAGGAATTGGAATTCAGATCTTCTGAAAGTACACTTTCTATCTATGTATGGTGTGTACAAAGGTTTTTAACACATGGAAAGCCTGCTGTCAAAATTAAAACATAATGAAATTCCATTTGGTTTATGATGTGTCCTTTTCCATTTGGTTTATAATGTGTCCATGGCCAAATGATAATAAGTCCTTTTCCCAACTGCTTATGGTAGAAATAAAGCATCTCTTTAAGAGATCATTAGTTGAGCTTCTTAATAAAATGCAAAGTGTTTAAAAAGTGGGAACGGGAGTATTTCCAGTACTTGTGAAATGCTTAAGTTTTGAGAATTTGACATATGTGCCTCATGAAAAATTTTTCCACTCCCAGGGGAAGGCCCTGGTTGGTTTATGAGTGGGCATGTTACCTAAAAAGTTTCAATTAGGGTGAATCTCAGAACTCTCGTTTCAAATGCCAGGATAGAAGCTTCCCTCTCCTCCTCCAGACCTTGTGGTGTGCACGTGGGAGTCCAGGGACTAGAATACTCATTTTCAAAGCCTGACATTGGACCCGGGAGACAGGGAAAAACCATCCTCAGGAAGTCACAGTGAGTTCCTTGATTTAGTTATACAACCGGTATGTTTCCTTTTTTTTTAAGCCATTTACCATACGATAATCTGACCCTTATAACGAACAGTATTCCAAATGACATTATCCTTATAACCTTCTGTAAAGTTCTTAGCCTGATCCAAACTTTGTGATCTGATTCCTTCCTGCTTCTCTTGCTTTGTGACTCGTCATCTTCCCATACTCACCTTTTTCTCCAGATGTGAGGTACTGTGATGATGTGAACATTGTGCTGTTTCAGATCTTCACATATAGACTTTTGTATGCGTTTGTCCCTCTTCTAGGAATGTCTTTGTTCCCTTTCTTGGTCTAATTCTATTTATCCTTCAAAACCTTTCTTCTATGTGATGCCCCAAAAAAGATTTTCTGCAACATCTCCTACCTGACATAACTGTCCCTCCTATGTATGTCTATGGCTTATCTTTCCCGTAGTATTTATCCCATTGTTTCACAATTTCTTCTCAACCAGACTAGAAACTCTTCAAAAGCATAATTCATGTATTAATTGTCTTTGCCTTTTTTTAAATCACCAGTACCTAAACTAATAGTTGGTATTCAAATATTGACAGAATTAATAAATGTGTCAGGTAAAATCACCACCTAAAAAAAAGAATAATAACAACTAATTCTGGCATAAGACAATGTTATTCTTATTTTTGTTTGGTTTCCTTTTGTTTGTTTCAGGTTTTTATGTACGAGGCAGCAAACCTAATGGATTTTAATTACTAGGAATGTGTTTCTACAGTTTGGTAGAGTTTATTAACTTAACCCATTAGTAGATTGGTAACCAGATAGAAAATGTAATTACTGATGAGTTGCCTTCTCTGTATAACCTGTCATTAGCCACCAGAGAGAAATAAGGAAGAAAGATTGAATGGATCAGTGAAAATCCGCCATCACAACTTGAAAATTCTCAAAGCACATGATTTACACAATAAAGTCATGCTTATTTTGACTGAGGATATAAATGAAAAGAGGGGGCATTTAAAGGATTATTGTGGAAATTTTATATTACTTGAGAAAAATTTTACTTAAACCTTTTTCAAAAAGAGATTGCCTTTGCTAAATGGGGTTGTATTATTAGATATATGGGAAGCAAAGCAGTTTAAGACATCGTGTCTTTCTCCAGAGTGTTGCCCTAGATCCCAGTTTTTCCATGACTGGGACATTTAGCATGCTTCATGGATAATGTCAGCCGTAGTTCAGCATCATTTCAGAAATAGTTGGATGTGTTCTCTTAGATGGCCCAGTGATATCTTTTTCATAAAAGATACACAATGGAGGAAAATTCTTAGTGACCTCTTTTTTAACAGTGAAGCTTGCCAAGTTTGCTTCTCCTTATTCTAAAGTTGGTTTTGGCATATTTGTTATCAGACATCTAAGTGTCATTCAGAGACCTTCCTCACAGGAAACAGATGGCCCACTCACATCAGAATAACTTAAGAAGGGTTTGTTTACAAAGGGACTAATGACTGAGATGTGAATGCAGTTTAAGAAACAGCTCAGATCATGCAGAGACTCTGCGCTAGTATCAATAGAGCTCTCACTCTCCTCTCCCATCCCATGTCCAGAGGGGTGAGAAGAGGAACTCGCTAGGAAAAAGGTGAGAACAGAAGGCCACCTGGAGAGGAGCAGGAATTTCCCACTAAGGGCACAGCCAGCCCTAGGAATAAGTCCCTGATGTCACTCTCTTCCCTACTTCCTGTCTCCTACTAGGCTCCTCCTTGACCAAAGTCAGAAAGAATGGGAGGCTTTTTGTTGTACTACAAGACAGTCAGCACTTTCTGCTCAATGTTTCTGCCTGGATGGAAAGCCTGTGCCTGCAACTAGAGAAGAAACAAAGTCTCATCAACTATCATATCACTATGGGATAATATCAATTCAATCATATTACCTCCTGAAGCCTAAAAAGTTAACTCTTCTAATTCTTCTTTTTTTTTTTTGAGTCAAGTTCACACTCAATTCCTGCTTATCACCCAGTCAGGAGTGCAGTGGTATGATCACGGCTTACTGCAACCCTGATCCTGATCCCCAGGGCTCAAAAGATCCCACTGCCTCAGTCTCCTGAGAAGCTAGGACTACAGATGCATGCCACTATGTCCAGCTAAGTTTTTATTATTATTTTCTGTAGATATGTGATCTTGCTATGTTGCACAGATTGATCTTGGACACTTGGCCTTAAGCTATCCTCCCACCTTGGCCTCCCAAAGTGCTGAGATTACAGGCGTGAACCAGCAGGCCTTGCCTGCTATACAAGGGAAAGGGAAGTAAAAAATAATGGAGTATCATAAAATATAACTTCTAAATTCTCCCTCTGTAGCTGGCCGCTAGCATAAATTGATGATCATAACTGCCTGCTTCCACCATCCAATTCCAAGCTCTCTTAGCATCTGGAAGTACTTCTGCTGGATGAGAGGTTTTTACCTAGTGGGATGACTTGAATATTCATTCCTCCTTTTGTGAATAGTCTTTGTACTCTCAGTCCAGTCTGTAATGGGCTCCAACTTTTATTATAGGCCTACGGGTGAAGTGGGTCTGAAACAAGAGTCAATATTTGCTTGTGAGACAAGGAAAGTTTATGGGAATTTGAGAGTCATAGTTCTTAGCTTCATCTATATCTACCAAAATTTCCTCACCCATTGAGGCAGAGTTTCATTGCTTCTTGACAATTACCTTTTACTTAGCGTAAGAGACCTGGCAGGTCAAGTTTATAATTAGTGCTAAAACTTTGTAACCTTTACAATCATACCCTGAGCTTGGTTGTCAGCTGCATCTGCCCTGTGACTATAGGAGAGAAGTGCCTACCCCAAGTTATTCAGAAAACCTTCTGGCTCTATATGTACTTTCTTAATTACATGTTTATAGTTATAACTCTTTTTCCCTATGTATATTTTGTAGAACTGTAAGAAGAAATTAAGTGACTCAATAATCTTAATTGTTAGAACAGCTAAGTGCCACAACCACTTGATCTCCGCTAGGACATTATCCCATGTGCAACCACCAGAGATAACTTGAGTATTTATGATGCTCTCATATGCCATATACCTTATCTGACTCCTCTCACCCCCAGCAAAAAAAATTATCTCTGTACTCCTCAAAGATATGATGTACCAATCCTAGGATCTCCTTTCAAGAGATCTGTTTCCTGGGGCCACTTCTAGTACCAATTAATGTATCAGCCAAATTCCCAGCAGAATAGAAATAATTAGATGAGTATTTATTTAAAAAGTAACAGATTATGAATGTTTGAGTGGAAAGAAAGTAAATCACCACAGATAGGTCAGGAGTGGCGGCCAGCAGCAGTGAACTGTTACCACTCTTAATCCGAAAGTGTTGAGGAAACAGAGAAGTGAACAGAACCTCAAATGAAACAGTACAAAGCCACAGGGCATGGGGCGGGCGTGGGGGGGGGGGGCGGGGATGTGACCAATGCAGGTCCATTTTTGAGGCCAAGGACAGATGAAGAAGGAAGGAGAGTAGCTCAAGGGGTCACACAGACGTAAATGACACAATGGTATTTTTTTGCTTCCTCTCTGCAAAACCACTTTCCTATTGCCCAGGCTGGAGTGCAGTGGTGCCATCTTGGCCCACGGCAACCTCCACCTCCCAGGTTCAAGAAATTCTCATGCCTCAGCCTGCCTCCCAAATAGCTGGGACTACAGGCATGCACCACCATGCCTGGCTAAGTTTTGTATTTTTAGTAGAGGTAGGGTTTTGCCATATTGGCCAGGCTGGTCTCAGAGAACTCCTGACCTCAAGAGATTGGACGGTCTCAGCATACCAAAGTGCTGGGATTACAGGTGTAAACCACCACACCCAGCCCTATCCTTCTTCCAAATGATGCAATATTATCTTTTCTTGAACTATCTGGTTTAATTAATCCATAGACTCTAGTTTTTAATTTATGTGTACACTGCTGTGACAGTAGTAAAATGTACCTTTATTTTTATGTTCTTAACATGCACTCTGCTATTACACATCCATTCTCATACATTTTATGTATGCACAAATATATACATAATGAATGTAACCAGTGACCATGTCTTTTGTGTCATTAGACCATGCCATAGGCATGTACAAATATTAATGACTTCTTGAGTTTAAAAGGTGAGAATTGATAACTATACTTGGAATTAAGTATAATCGTAAGAATGGTATCTTTCTATTTCCTCTCCCTTCCAGCATGAGAATTCTTTCTTTGATTGAAAACATTCGGTTTTCAATTTATTTCGTCATCTGGGGGAGGTGCTGGCTTTGAAAATGCAATTCAAAGTATGGCTTTCAAAAAGTCGCAAGAGAGATCTTTAGTCTTGTAAGGAGTCCATGAGGTTTTTTTTTTATATCTCATGTCAGTAATGATTCCTGATTTTCTTAACAGGGATGAGAGTTGTTTTTATAAAAATCTCTTTTAATTACCTCAACCTTTTATTTGAAACAGAGAGTGGGTTTATCTGAATGATTCTCCAAAGAGATATCATAACAGAGCATAACCAATTTAGTTGAAAATTGAGGAATACATGTTGGCCATCTTGTCCAGTTTCAGAAAATTTAAGCTCTGAGCATTTTTCGTGTAAGAACAATAAACTACAAGTAATTACCCTAAAAGACCATTTTGAAACATCCTTTTTTATCTATAAAATGTTACTGATTATGGCATGGGGAATAAATTCATAGTAACACTGTTCTAAATCCATTCTCATTTATAACAACTTAAAACTCAGATGGCAATGATATTATCATAGTTTCCAGATTCAAATTACCATAGGCATTTCCACCATTGTTTACTTGTTTTTTAAGGATCTCACATTGCTCCATAGACAGACCATGATTGTTTGGGACATCAAATATCTATATCATTTCACAATGTGAAAAATAAAATAATACATTCTTGAAATTGAGACAATTCGACTAAAGTTATATTTAATGTCTATGAGAAAGAAATAGAAACTGAGATGGTTGATTCTCTACTGTAGCGATCTAGGCTCCCCACAATTCTATTTTACACTTTAAGGGGATACCGTATTGATCATTTTGCTAGGAGACTAGATTCAGTCCTGTTTATTGGCTTGGCAGTTATAGCAGACTTGCCCTTTGTGTACAAATTAGATTATGTGGAGAATGATTTTAAAAATGTTGGTTCCAAATCTACACGTGTATATGGAGTGACAAGTTTCTGCCACTCTCTAGAGGCCAAGGTAAAAATCAAGGAATATGTAAAAACAAGTTTATTCCTCTTTCCAGTTTTGAGAAACAGAGAGCAGATAGGCAGAATGAGTTTATTTTCCCTAGTTAAAAGTGAAGAAAAATCTTATCGCTAGCATGTCATAACCTAAATAATCTATGGGGAATCCACTAATACCTTAAGAACCAAATATTTCTGGCCCAGAAAGGGCCAAAGACATCATTAACATAAGCTTCCACACATAAAAAAAAGATTTGCAAACTCTCCATGTAAAAGCGTGGCTTAAGATAATTCTAAATAGTAAGAACATATCTGATGTTAAAATAGCATTAGATGTGGGTTGGAATTTACTAACTATAAAGGCCATTTTAGTGATGAATCTGGACAGGAAATGGTCATTTAAAATGTAATCATATGCTTCTAATTGTGATGTAATAGCACACTCAATGCTGAAACACAACATGACCAACGAAACAAGATTGAGCAATAAAGGAATAGAAAAAGAATTAATACCAGACAGGACAGTTTCAAATCTCTTTGAAGACTTTTCAGTGAAAACATCTTTTAACCTTTTTTTGTACTCTTAACCTGGAGGACACTGGTAGAAATTCAATGAAGCAAGAATGTGGCAGAAATGGTTCCAGAAGAGTTGGGAAAGAGCAGGATATGAGGCAATGGCTTTGCCTGCCATGCTGGCCCAAAGGTAGGTCCAGAAAAGAGGTCTTACATTCCAAAGATCCTCCCATGACTCCGAGTCTCACACTTTTTCCACTGTACCATGTGTGTCCAGTAAGTGATGCCTAAGAAAATATAGGCTAAAAGGCCAGTTTGGATTAAAAATGGGTTTGTCTGAAGCTACAGTTCAGTTTTTACCACGTCACTCTCCTGTTCAAAAAATCCTTCAGTGGCCTTCCTTTCAAATGTGATGTGTTAACAAAGTACATCATTATATTGGCCTCCCATTGAGCCTCTCTCAGCCTTGCCAGTTTCATTTCTCATTGCTTCCCTACAGGAAGGTTCTGCCTCATTCAAATCAGTCCATTGCTCAACCTTGGTGCTCTTCCACCACTGTACATATTTGATCTGGCTGTTCCTCCCATCTGGAACACCCCCTTCTGTCCTCCATTTATTTCCATCCTACCCAATATTTAATGCAAGGGTCAGAAACCCACCTCTTTTGTAGGTGTTTCCTAAGAGCTCAGTCAGTCCCTGATTCTCCTTTCCTTCCCTGGACACCTAGAGTACACACTCTCAAGATCACTTATTGGGCTCTTATCAGATTCTACTTAGAGCTGCAAACTCCCTTTCCTGGAAAGCTGCTACCATGTTGCAAAACCCCAGATCATAGCACAGTGTCTCCATCAGGAGGGATTAAATATATAAACTCCCATACAATGTCATGTGCACTTTTGCACTCTATAGTTTACACAGAGCTTTCGCATATCCCACAGCTTAAATAAACAAGCTTTCATGCCCTCAATCTATAGAGTACACAGAGAGTTTTTACATTTGCTATCTTGTTTCGCAATATCCTTGGAGAAAGGCCTGACAGATATTATAATCTCCATTTTACAGATAAGAAAGCTGAACCGGGGAATCATGAGTGATTTGCCCAAGTCACGTACCAACTAAGGGGCAGTATGAAGGTGTACAGGCTTCTTTTCTGATTCTCTAATGATCATTTGGCTTAATCATTTTTTCTGTGCCTAATCACTTTAATTTTGTAGTTTTAAACACTGTGATTTGGAGTTTTCTCAATAAAGTATTAAAAAGACAGAGAAAAAAATGGCTTGATACTATAAGATCAGAGATACACAAAGCTAATAAACAGAATAAAGGTGTATGATCAGTATTTTAAATGACTTGGGCAACTGAGGCAAAAGAGAAAAGAGCGTGAGAGCTCTTAATGTTAATCAAATCATGAAGACTTAAGTCTCGTATAAAGAAAAATGAGATGAAAGTCTACAATGTTTTTAAATTATGTATGTCCAGAGCTTTTTTCTAGAATTTTAAGTCATACACTGAAAGATGAAAAGAAATACTATACTATACCAAATCCATTACAAAGAAAGAGAAAAATATGTTCTCAAGGATTCCATTAACTAATCTGTTCTAGTGTTGAATTGCTAGCATTTCTTAAATGCAAACTCTGAGTCAGGCACAGTCCTGAGTACTTTACATGGATTATGCACTCTCTCTCACAATGGTGCTCAAAAGTGTTATTATCCCAACTTTTCAGAGGAAGAAAGGCAAAGAACGGGTGTTGATACAGGTGTCATTTTCAACATGTGCCACCTAACTCCTGAGCTCAAGCTAAACTCTGTATAATCACCCTTGTCATTGGGAAAATCTGAATCCAATTATTCCAGTTCATTTTAAGTCAAAGTAAGTATATTTGGGCTTTATACTGTTTCTTAATAATTATCCATATGTTTTTTACCAAAACTACTAAAACCCCTTGAGGTCTTGCTATAACTGCATACAACGCCAATGACTTCATATTTCCCCAGAGGACTTGAATGTCACGTTTGGGACAAAATAGTCTCCAGGACAAGCTCCTTTGTGCTTTGCAGTGTATGCACATCTGTTTGCTTCTGCACATGGAAGAAATGAATGCATGTGACTCTGTTAGGGTTGCCAAATATCTCTGACTATGAAAGGCGACATTTGCTTTAGGAAGATACTTAGTTCTCAGTGGTCTCTAGCATTGTTGAATATAATTGCACACGTTAACATTTTTCAAGGAATGCAACTCAGTATTTTTGCTCTTAAAGTGGTTGTTATTGTTGGGGATGATCCATTCTCAAACATTTTTGTGTTTGACACATTCCTTACACTATTGGCTATACAAAGTAACAGCTAACAGATGGTTATTGAACCCAGACAGACATGGATGTGAATCTCAATATTTCCTTTACTAACTTTGTGGTTAGGGGCTTTCACTGGACTTATCTGAACTTCGGTTTCCTTATCTGTAAAACATAAAACTAATTAATAGAATTTGGGTGAGGATAAAATAAAGTAGTAAGTGGAAAATCTAGGGAATATGGCTAACAAATGCTCCATAAGTATTAGCTTGACAATATAACTACACAGAACACATATATAGAAAATGGATTTTGCTAGACAGACAAATATAAATATATCAGTATAGTTGACTGAGAATATAAGATTATGGATGTTTCCTTTTTCATTCTAGTTTTCTATATCTTCCAGAATTTTCATTAATAAGTAAAATAGAATTTGGCTAAAGAATGATATCATCTTACTGGCAGTAGCAAGAAATCTCAGCATACAGAGGTTGACATTGTTATCCACCTCAGTTCATTTGCAAGAAATCAGACATAGTCTCTTGAGGTTTTATATTAAATTCATTACAGCCACCACTTTTTTTCACTTGATTAGTTCTGTGAACACATTTCCAATGATTGAGCAGTTCACAATCCCAGAAAACTCATTTTTAAGTGTAAAGATGTGGATTCTTCAGGAAAAAAAAAAAGAGTAGCCAAGAGGATTTACACGGGGCTCTCACTTATCACACAGTATGAACTTAAGAGGTTAAGCTGGCACACTGAGAACACTGAACTTGGAAAATCTGCCTCTAGCATAGTCCAAGGAAACTCTGAGGCTGTAATTTTCAACAGGCAGTCCACATTCTTTGGTAAACAGTGGTTTAGGATGAAGAAGACAATTTCACCTGGCAATACCCATTTCAGGACTTGTCAGTCTAGCTAGCAGAGCTTGCTTTCCTTGAAATTTGTAACCTCCTTTTAGGAGAATATGACTCTTCAGCAGGAAATCCACCTGTAACAACTATTATAGCAGCCTGTGAATACCGCTATTCCTGGAATGAATTTCATTGTAATATAATGAAAATGACCTTTACATAGATGGATCTTTTTTGAATGGAGGTACCTAGTGTGAGGGAATGAGCTGGAGAAAATGAACATAAGTAGAGTTTCCAGCCAGGGAATACTTCAGGAAAAAAAATATGAAATGGATACTCTGAACCATGTTTATGCATGTCCTTGTGTAATTAACCCAGAGCAACTTATTGATCTTAAAAACTCTTCAGTAATGGAATCATTGATTCTGGTATAATCCAGGTTTATGTGGGTTAAGTCAGTCCTTCCCCCAAACCTCAGAGAGCTGACAATTAAAGTTATAGATGTGTAAAACTGAGACACAAAAAGAGATGTGGATTAACAACTTTGCCAAACTCATAGTGAATCCACAAAAAGTGCATGCTACATTGCTCTAAATTGAGTGGCACACTATGAGTCACTTGCTTTTTCTACACTTTTCCCTTTGTCCCTTCAATTCCAAATCTGCCACTTAAAATCTTTGCAACACAGCAGAGAGCAGGGAACTATGCTTTGGGATTTAGGCTTTCAAAGGCAATTCCGGTTAGCAAAAGATGCAACTCAAGGCAGGTCTCCTTCTGCTGTCTCTCATACTTCCCTCTGTACTCAGTGACTTGTGGTTACTAGTGGATTCTTGCCAGGCATAGCTCCTGTGATGGTCATCTCCCAGTAGAGCCCTATAAAATCTTCAGCTTGACCCTGGGTCTCTTTGAGACTGGAATGCTCAGTGTGATTATCACTATGGGTCAGTTTATAACATTTATTATATTCTCAATTCATTGAACATCACAATGTTGTACACACTGTAGATACAATAGTGAATACTACAGATGGGATTTCTGTGACAAGAACATACAATGGGGTAAGGAGAGGCACTTCCTCTGGAGCTCCTCCAAACAACCACTGTGTTCAGAGCTTCCCATAATAGCATTGGGAATTTGACCTATGTAATAACACAGGGCCTGATGTTCTCTTCAGTGCCTTTCATGGGTGGAAGCAGATTACAGTGTGCTGGACTCCACTTTCCCTTTGGGCGGGCTCTCTTGACTGTTATTGATGCCAGGATGCTCAAGCCTTGGAGTATTTGATTGTAGAGTCATTCATTCTCTCTTAGGCAGGTACAAATTCAGTTTACCAGAGGAGATGGTAATTCTTTATCTGCCTCATGTATACATGATACATATAGGAAATAAATGCTGATGTATCTTTGGTTTTCCTTTAGTTTCCCATATGGTCATGTAAAAGGAACTTAAGTAATCCTAGAATGCATTAAAAAAGATCTTCCAAAAATGATGAGCACTTAGCCTGTGTTTCAACTTTCTCCACAAGTTCTGCCCATTGCAACCAAAAATTTAAAAATTGGGAAAAGGGTAATTTACTAATTTTCTTCTCTGTTGTCTAAGATTTCACACTTTGAGTAGAGAGAAGCAAAGTATAGAGGGAATGTTATCTATCTCTCTTTAATTATATTTCAATCAGTTTTCTATAGATTCTATGACTTAAACATGGATTACTTGGGTCAAAGTAATGTTATTGTCAATTGTCTCCATATAAACTAAATTAACACATTATAATTATGTTGTCATGTTTATTGTCTTCTAAACATTTTATAATTCATAGAAGTAATTTGCATATCTAGAAGCAAGCCCATAAATCCAAATATATCATATATTAAAATAATTATCCACAGAGTACCAGTATAGTTTCCTTCATCTTATACTATAAATCACTGCTTATTATCACTCATTGAATTTGTTTGCAATATATAAGTCTTGTTTTATATACAAAGCTTATTTAGGAGGAACTAGATAGATAGGTGGATAGAACTATTGGCACATACATAAGGCTGCAATTCTGCAGAATGTTTTTATGCATCGCTTTCTAAAGTAATAATTCTAAGACATCCAGACTAAGTATGGAACCCTGCATTAGGCTGACATCAAAAAGCAATAAAATAAAACTTTCCAAAGCTTCTAGCTTTGGAATGCTAAATGTGGTCAATTTAAAATGATTTCCTGTTTCCAAAAAGGTCTTTTGTTGTTTTTCCCCCCTCCACCAACAACAAAATCCTCTCTCTGGAAATATCAGATGTCCTCATGGCTATTTGATATTACTGCCCAGGAGAATCTGAGGGGAAAAAGAACAGAAAGAAAGTGAAAAAGGGCCAACAGAGTACAGGAAACCCTTCTTGGAATTTCAAAGGCAGTAAAATGTGGAATAACTTAGCTATGCTAAGACATTTTATATAGAAAGCCTGAAGAACTGAGTAAAGAAACATTTGTATAAAGAAACATATAGATATTATATATGTAGCTTCATATTACATAAATTAAACTAAAAAAACCATTAAAATCTTTTAAAAGAGACATTAAGAAAATATTTAGTACAAATAAATGGATGAATAATTTGAATGACAGGGAACTATAGAGTAGCCACTCAAATGTTCCTAAAATGGTACAGCTATTACTGTTGCTGCTTTTCTGCATTTGTTTACACTTAAGGTAGTTAATTGTTATTTGTTAATATGTATCATCTTTTACGCAAAAAATTAACATATGATTTTAGAGAATGAAATCTTTTATGACATTGCCAATTTGTGTTGTCTCTTATCAAGCCATTCTTCACTGCTATTACAAAGGAACAGGTGAGGAAACTTCCAAGACAAGTTTCTACATATTCCTGACAACCTAATCGCCCAAAATGGAACAGAGAAAATTGTGGTGCTTTGTTTTTGAACAACAATAATTGTTATAATTAGCACACCAGATAGCAATCTTGCTGAAAATGAAAAATATATTAGAACTCTTGTTCTTTTCAAACTAATAATTAATTATAAAAATAGTGGCTTGTGATTTGGGAAAAACTAAATATAGATAAATCTTGAAATGATACATTAATACTTTTTGGATATCTTATATTCCATGCAAGACTAAAACATGAGTTGAGATGCTAAGAAAAATTGCTTATACCAAAACCAACATATATGTTAATAAAAAGCACTTTTTAAAGCTTTAAAAAGCACCTCTGTGGCACATAGTAGTTGCTCATTATGGGTTTTGGGGTTTTAGTAGACTGAGTTTCAACTCCATCTAAAGACTACTCAATGCTTTGCTAACAGCTTACACATAATTCATACATTTACTTGCAATTTTTGAACATATTTGCTTTCTTTAAGAGGAATGTTTTTTGGGAAAGAAATGCGAGAAAGAATAGTGAGGGTTTCCTTGCCGTACTATACATTAAAATAGATTATACAATCTTAATAATTTTTAAAGTTTATTACTGGTATTAGGATAGAGGCAAATTAATGTAATACACTAGAAGATCCAGAAACATATAAGTATATAAAGGACTCTAATATATGATAGAGGTGCCATTTTAAATGACTGAGAAAGAAAAGATTATTTAGTAAATGAGCTGGCTGATGGCTTGGAAAAAAAAGTTAGATCCCTACCTCATGCCACACGGCAGAGTAAGTTCCAAATGTACTGAAAATTAATAATAGAAAATTGAAACACTGAACTACTAGAAGAAATATAATGACAATATAATCTTGAGGTGGCAGATAGTACTTTATATTATAATTTAAGTAATATATTTATGAAAATTGGTCATATTTTCTAAAACTGACACAAATGCAGTGAGAAGGGTGGCATTGTTTTACATTTTTGCAAGTCTCCTTAATGTCTAGCTTAATAGAAAACATCTGGAATCTCATATTTGCCTTGGCAATCATCTGTGGTGATATCATATGTCTGTAGCTGGACAACTCCACTGTAAACTTGTAAAAGAGTAGAAGTGAAAAAGGCAGATACATCATAGTATTATTATGTAAATAGTTTTGATCTTTTAGGCCTCTGGAATGGATCTCTGGGTCACATGTGGACGGTGAATCACACTTTGAGACTATGAAATATAAACCTTTAAATTGATTGTATTTCTGAAGTATCAATTTTATTTGCATAGTTATGGAAAAGATTCATCTGAATTACCTGTAGTTTCCTATAAGTGATCAGTTTCCTACCCCTATTGAGTAGCAAAATAGCTTAGTATACTCTTAAATTGGATTATCCCCCAAAAGGTCTAAAATCACCCCATATCCCACTGAAAGGATACCCTATCATCTCTTCTGTCCATTTCTCAGTCTATCCTCCTAACTTACACCACCTTCAATTATCAGCCTCCACATTAAACGTTTTGATATGCAAAGGTCATAAGGAGATGGGCAAATTTCTAGGTGGTAATACAACCAGAAAGAAGGAGATTGGAACTATTTGCAGTGTAGTTAATGTAGTTACTTCTTTATATTTCCACACTTAAGTCCTTGCAAAATTTCCTCCTTTACAACTTCCTTCTTTCATTTGAAAAATCACATTTTCCTAAAGAAGTCCTTTTTCATGTTTCTTATTTCAGTCCTTTATCCCCTTTTCAGGAAATCTTATTACTTTCCTCAGCAGGTAGAAGTTTCCCTTTTTGGTCTGTTCCATGCCTACCAACTCAAATGGCACCTCTGACTTAGTTTAAATGTTTATAAGGATCTCATTTGTTCAGGAAGATGGGATGCATTCTAATTACATGATTATAAGTAAATATGAGTTTCAGTTCAGGTTCAGTACATACTCCAAAGGAAAATTTGCTTTTTTTCACACTAGATCATCTGGTAGTTAATCTTCATCAAAGTGGTCACTAAGATTAGAAAATGAAATCTCGTATTCAAAGCAAATGCATATATATATGTCTCATGACAGATATATATATATGCACATGTGAAATGAAAGGCTATGGTTATTTAGCTTTATTTTGTCCTGTCCTTTTTAGGACAATAGACTCCACCATTATTCTTCTAAGAGGCTTTTTTTTTTTTTTTTTTTAATATTATGCCCCACTGAGTGTGGTGTCATTATAAAAGACATCATACTAAGTATAAATTGCTTAGCCTTAGTTTCCCTTCCTGCAAAGTAGTATTTCCAATCAAATTCCTTATGATTTCTCCTTCCTAAGGTATATGTTTGAGAGCAGAGGTAGAAATGGAGAGAGCTCCAGTTTATATATAACACATGCACAAAAATGTATACCCACAATGTGAACATGGATAAGAATGAGTAGCCCAGACATTTGAAAATTTACAAACATTTTGCAGCTTCATTTTATGGTTTAAATTGAGGTATGGAGAACAAATCAGTAAGTATTTGTATGACTAATAATCCTAAAACATACTTATTCTAAATCTGACTTTGGGACTATAGAAGTGAGTTATTTCATATTTTCAGTACAAAATTAGAGTCACGAGGGGCTCAAGTGTGATTCTAGAGATAGAAAGTGAACTATGACCACGAGGAGCAGGCTTTACTGAGATGTACATAAATACCTAATCTTCCCCCTACTCCTTCCTCTCCTCTTCTATCTCTCCTTCTCTCCACAACATGGACAGGAGGAAGATTAAGTAGCTCAGACATTTAAAAATTATCCTGTTTTTCCTCCTCCTCTTTTCCCTTCTCCTCTTCTTTCTCCTCTTTCTTCTTCTAATGAATGAAAATAGAAATGGCAGCCATGTGAAATTTTTGGTCTAAATAGGATTGCAAACTCTGAACCATGGATTAAACCCGGCCCTTTGCCTCTTTCTGTACATCTGTACATCCATGAGCTAAGAATGGTTTTTAACTTTTTTTTTTTTTTGAGACAGTCTTCTCTGTTACCCAGGCTGGAGTGCAGTGGCGCAATCTCAGTTCACTGCAACCTCCACCTCCCAGGTTCAAGTGATTCTCCTGCCTCAGCCTCCCAAGCAGCTGGAACTACAGGCACCCGCCACCATGCCCAGCTAATTTTTGTATTTTTAGTAGAGACAGGGTTTCACCATATTGGCCAGGCCAGTCTCGAACTCCTGATCTTGTGATCCACCTGCCTCAGCCTCCCAAAGTGCGGGGATTATAGGCATGAGCCAAGGCGCCCGGCCGGTTTTTTAACATTTTTAAGTGGTTGAAAGTAACTCAAAAAGATAATATCTGGTGACACTTGAAAATGATATGAAATTCAAATTTCATTATCTACAGATAAAATAATATTGGAACACAGCCACACTCATTTGTTCATGTACTATATACCATTGCTTTTGTGCTATACTGGCAAAGTTAAGTAATGACAATAGAAACCATATGTGACACTCTCATGACTTCACACTCCTGCTCAATGTACTACAGATCACAGTGATGCAATTGTAACTCAACAGCATTTCAATATGTCATGCATATTGCTCCACCACAACATAATTTTTATAAATTGTCAATGGGTATTTATTATGTCAAAAGAAGAAAAGAAGAGAAAATGGGGGTTTGAAAGTTGTACCTTTGAGGCACAATGGAATGTAGGTTATTTTATTATTGAATTCAATTGTGAAGGGTTGTATTTATTATGCAATGACACTACAGCTGTGATAAAATGCAATATACATCAGTGTCACCAAAAACCATGCATGCACTACAGTATTCTTCCAAATCACAAAAAAGGCAATAACAAAAAAATTTAACATGGACTATTTTGTCACAGCAGAATTTCTTCACAAAAATAAAAAATGAAAATCAGACTGTGACCAAAGTTTATGTGCACATTGCTCATTTGTTAGTCAAGGAAATTCATTTACAAATTGTGAATTAATTAAATCACATTTGATTGCAGCTATAGTTAATATCTGCCTAGAGAAAACTCTACTGAAGATTATTAGCCTTTTAATGAGAATAACAGTTCAAAGAGTTGAGGACATTGGGAGCAATGTCAATAGTCAATTAAAAAACAAAGGAAATTGTGTTTAGTGGTTAGTTTTGGCTCTTGGTAAGTTAACAGGGGTTACCAAAACTACTGAGTTGTTTTTCACTTGAGGAATTAATGCCAAGTTTGAGATGACTGAAGAATTAGTGTGTATGAACAGTTCATGTGGGATAATTACAGGAGAGAATATTTTCCAAAAAAATTGAGAAAGCAACAATTCAGTAAAATCTGAAGTGGTATCTGCTAAGATGTGTTATAACTAATGATGGAAACAAAAGTGTAGAGCAGAAAATGGCTTATTTGGACAAATTTACTAAGCTTTTGACATTGTCTTGAACAAGAATAATTGCCCTGAATCAGTATTATTTAATACTAAACAGCTTTGGAAATTTGCTGTTACTGCAGACTTGATTACTTAATTAATTCAATCTAAAATTACAAGGGAATTTAGAGTTTATATGTGAACGATACTGCAATAAAGTCATTTTGGCAAGTAATATTTTCTCAAATGACAATTTTGAACCACATGTTGGCAAAAGTTAAAGCAACAGTCAAGATTTTCATCCTCATATGAATATTTAGTGCATATGTTCTTTGAACTCAAACTGCAGTTTCAGCAGAACTCTTTAGACCTTGATGCAAATGAAAAGGAAATTTCATATTTCAAAATATATTTCACTAAGACATTGAGAAGCTTTCACCTGACCTTCAATTAGTCACCTAACCTTCAATTAGAACTTATTCATCCAAAATGTAGTGACACGCTAAAAGCCAAATATCAAAAGACTCTAATAGGAGTGTGTTAATATATTTCAAGTTTTAATTATGATTAAAATCATATGCTGGTGGATTGATAACAGTATTTGGCAGTGCCATCTGTGCTAAAAGATGTTTTGGAAGACAAAATCTATAAAATTTCATTATGGATAGCATTAACAGATGATACTTGTAACTGATTTTGATAAGAGAAAACACTAGGAATTTCAGTTAAGCAAATGTTACCTGCAACCCCCAAAAGGGGGAACTCCATTCTTCTCATTATTAGACTTGTATTAAAATTATTTCAATTCATTTCGGTACAAAGTAAAAAAGTAAAAAAATATATATACATATTATTTTGCAGTACTCAAAATAACTTGAATGCTGTAGTACTCAATTATAATTGTTATTATATTTAAATTTCATCAATTAAAAATATGTGGAAATTTGTTTTCTCTCTGATTATGTAACATCTATGTAATTTCCATGATTTTGCCTCTTTGCCTGCAAAGCTTAAAAAATTCATTATCTGGACTTTTTTTTTTTTTTTTTTTTTTTTTTGAGACAGAGTCTTGCTCTGTTGCCCAGGCTGGAGTGCAGTGGCATGATCTCTGCTCACTGCAAGCTCTGGCTCCTGGGTTCACACCATTCTCCTGCCTCAGCCTCCAAGTAGCTGGGACTACAGGTACCCACCACCACGCCCGGCTAATTTTTTATATTTTTAGTAGAGATGGAGTTTCACCATTTTAGCCAGGATGGTCTCAATCTCCTGACCTACTGCGCCCACCTTGGCCTCCCAAAGTGCTGGGATTACAGGCGTGAGCCACTGCTCCTGGCCCCATTATCTGGACTCTCACAAAAAAAGTTTGCTGATCTTTGATCTAAATAAAACAAATCTGAATTCTGGTTCCACTTGTGGAATGCCAAGGAAACTGACAGCAGAAAGAAAGTGCTGGAGGCCAGAGATCAGTGAAACTGAAATTGAGGTGATGATTATCCTGAGACTTACAGTGAAAGACACTGGCTGCAAGGGTCTATCTGAGATGTTCTTCCCTCAAAAGAGGGCATCAGGTTCTGAATAAAATTAGCCATCCTAGACATCCAACAGTGGAGCCAGGATAACCAGGCTGTCATGCTCCAGTATACTGAGCATGATCATTTTTCCTTCCAATGACTTTATTTCCATAGTTATATGTTTGTAGGGAAACTGTATGTTTGCCATAAACAGATGTTTATCTTTTTGACATAGAGAACACAGAAATTTTGGATAATTTCATTGTTAAGAGGTGGCATTGGCCAATGTTGGTATCATTAAAACAGATTGTAGATGCCTAATAAATTGCATGCGAATTTACTTTTTCTGAAACTAAGGTCAACTCTTTATGTCTTATTAGCTTTCAATGTTTTCAGAAAGAAAGAACAGTTAGAGAAAATTAGAACAGGGATATTAAAATGCTTTTTCACTTGATTTTCCAACATCTTAGAAAAAAGACCTAGGCTTTGTGCAGACCAGTGTAAAAAATTATGCCTTGTCTGGACATAATTAAGCCAGGAAAATGAACACTTTCCACTTAGTATTTATTTGTAAATTCATAATCAAAAAGGTAATAGTTATCATTCCTAACTTCTTCAAAGATACAGGGGATGAAAAAAGACTTTTATAATAACCTCTTTAGAATAGATTTTTATGTGAAGGAAGTGCAGAATCACCAGTGTTTTTTTGTCAGCATACCTCTGGGAGTTACACTGGGATTAAGTCTCCTCTAATCACCAATTGTTAGCTGACAAGGTGGACTTTGAACTAGTGCGTTCAAACATGGGGTTCTCTCGTGTTTGAAAAAAGAAAAAGACCATGTCAAAGCTAGTCTTTATCACTTGTCTGGCAATCAATCACATACTTTCCATGGAAAGCTGTTTTACATACAAAGTATTTGTTTTAAATACTTTATAGAAATAAAAGATGTGTACTGAAGATAACTTTTAAAAAGTAGCCATATTTTTGAAAAGCATAATTTCTTCATTACATTTTTTTCATTATTGATATGGTTTGGCTCTGTGTCCCCAGCCAAATATCACTTTGAATCGTAATCATCCACACGTGTCATGGGAGGGACCTAGTGGGAGGAAATTGAGTCATGGGGGTGAGTTTTTCCCATGCTGTTCTCATGATAGTGAATAAGTCTCATGAGATCTGATGGTTTTATAAAGTGTAGTTCCCCTGAACATGTCCTCTTGCCTGCCGCCATGTAAGATGTCACTTTGCTCCTCCTTATCTTCTGCCATGATTGTGAGGCCTCCCCAGCCATGTGGAACTGAGTCCACTAAACCTCTTTCCTTCATAAATTACCCAGCCTAGGTATGTCTTTATTAGCAGCATGAGAACAGACTAATACAGTAAATTGGTACCAGTAGAGTAGTGTGCTGCTGTACAAATACCTGAAAATGTGGAAGTGACTTTGGAACTGGGTAACAGGCAGAAGATGGAACAGTTTGGAGGGCTCAGAAGAAGACAGGAGAATGTGGGAAACTTTGGGACATCCTAGAGACTGGATGAATGATTTTAACCAAAATGTTGCTCGGGATACGGACAATGAAGTCTAGGTTGAGGTAGTCTGAGGTGGAGATGAGGAACTTGTTGATAACTGCAGCAAAGGTTACTCTTGTTATGCTATAGCAAAGAGACTGGTGGCATTTTGCCCCTGCCCTAGAGATTTGTGGAAATTTGAGCTTGAGAAAGATGGTTTAGAGTATCTGATGGAAGAAGTGTCTAAGTGGCAAAGTGTTCAAGAGGTAGCACAGCATAAAAGTCTGAAAAATTTGCAGCCTGATGATGCAATAGAAAAGAAAAACCCATTTTTTGGGGAGAAATTCAAGCCTGCTGCAGAAATTTACATAAGTAATGAGAAGCCCAATGTTAATCCAAGACAATGGGGAAAATGTCTCCAGGGCATGTCACAGACCTTCAAGGAAGCCCCTCCTATCTCAGGCCCAGAGACCTAGGAGGAAAAAATGGTTTCATGGGCCAGGCCCAGTGGCCCCTGCTGTGTGCAGCCTAGGAACGTGGCACCCTGTGTCCTGGCTGCTTCAGCCATTGATAAAAGGGGCCAAGATACAGCTCAGGCTGTGGCTTCAGAGGGTGTAAATCCCAAGCCTTGGCAGCTTCCACGTGGTGTTGAGGCTGCGGGTGCATAGAAGTCAAGAATTGAAGTTTGGGAACCTCCACTTAGATTTCAGAGGATGTATAGAAACGCCTTGATGTCCAGGCAGAGGTGTGCTGCAGGGGCAGAGCCCTCATGGAGAACCTCTACTAGGGCAGTGTGGAAGGGAAATGTGGGGTGCTAGCCCCTACACAGAGTCCCCACTGGAGCACTGCCTAGTGGAGCTGTGAGAAAAGGGCCACCATTCTCTAAACCCCAGAATGGTAGATCTACTGACAGCTTGCACTGTGCACCTGGAAAAGCCTCAGACACTAAATGCCAGCCCATGAAAGCAGTCAGGAGGAGTGCTGTACCCTGCAAAGCCACAGGTTTGGAGCTGCCCAAGACCATGGGAACCCACCTCTTGCATCAGTGTGACCTGGATGTGAGACATGGAGTCAAAGGAGATCATTTTTGAGCTTTAAGATTTGACTGTCCTGCTGGATTTTGGACTTGCATAGGGCCTGTAGCCCCTCTGTTTTGGCCAATTTTTCCTATTGGAATGGGTGTGTTTACCCAATGTCTATACCCCCATTGTATCTAGGAAGTAACTAACTTGCTTTTGATTTTACAGGTTCATAGGCAGAAGGGACTTGCCTTGTCTCAGATGAGACTTTGGTCTTGGACTTTTGGGTTAATGTTGCAAGGAGTTAAAGCTTTATGGCCTGTTGGAAGGAATAATTGGTTTTGAAATGTGAGGACATGAGATTTGGGACGGGCCAAGGGCAGAAATGTATGGTTTGGTTGTGTCCTCACCCAAATCTCACCTTGAATTGTCATAATCCCCACGTGTCATGGGAGGGACCCAGTGTGAGGTAGTTGAATCACAGGGTTGGGTTTTCCCCATGCTGTTCTCATGATAGCAAATAAGTCTCATGAGATCTGATGGTTTCATAATGGAGAATTCCCCTGCACATACCTTCTTGCCTGCTGCCATGTAAGACGTCCCTTTGTTCTTCCTTTGTCTTCCGCCATGATTGTGAGGCTTCCCCAGCCATGCTGGACTGTGAGTCCATTAAACCTCTTTCCTTTATATATTACCCAGTCTTGGGTATGTCCTTATTTGCAGCATGAGAACGGACTAATACAATTATTCTCCAAATTAAGCTTTTCCTTTCTGTTATAAGGGTAACATGATAAAATCACAGAATAGCCACAGAAAGAAAGATTTTCTGAAAATAAGAAATATACACCAAATTCCATTTGGTGATTAAATATTTTACTATGCTTTATAAATACCTAAAGATATTTAGCTTATCCAGTTACTATTCCTTTTAAGGAAAGCTTTTGGAATTTGGAATTTAATTGCCATTTATACTAAATAGTAAAAAGAAGGTTGTGCAATTTACATAGGTTTAACTTCTAATATGAAATTATCACTCTGAATTGTTAAGTGAAATGAGAATGGAAGCAGCCTCCCTAAGCAGCATAAAAGACAGGCTGTAAAAGAAGTGCATGGAGAGCAGAGAGAATAATAGGCTATAGACAGAGAGATTCCTTTACTAGGGTGTATCATGGAGTCAGGAAGGAGAGGGGTGCAAAATCGAGGGATGTAATCTGACTCCCTGTTTGGTAAAGTCTGGATTTTATCAAAACTAGAATTGGTAAAGGCTTCTCCATTTATTTCCAGCTATGTCCAATCAGTTACTAATTATTGGTGATTCTACTTAAAAAATTTTGATTGGAGAAACTGAATAAATATATAAATGTATTAATTAATACATGGATGAATGAACGAACAAATGGGTGAATGAATAAATAAGGGACAACAGTGAAAGATCCTTTGACTTATTATTTCTCGGGTGATAGTGAGATGCTTCGTCCTGATTTCTGGGCAATCTGTCCAATCACAACAGAGCATCAGGCAGTGGATAGGGCACAGCAATTGAGATGCAGTGCTAGGGAAAGAAAGATGGTTTGAGTCAGATTTGGTATTTTAAATAAGTCAGGTATCCAGGAAAATTAGAACAGAAGGGAATGTTAAAAATCCCACACTAGTTAATAGGGCTTAATCCAGGCATACAAAACATCATGTCTTCTTGGTAACATGACTTCATTTTAAGTGCCACTCCGTGGTGAGCTGAGCTTCCTGGTCTACTTCCTAACCTACCATGATCTTCTGGGTCAGCCTGTATGTGGCTACTAGGGGATAGAGTGGCAGGCAGGAAGACGGAGAAGAAAAAAGGCAGGGAACACAAGGCAGAAACCAACCAAAGTAATCTAACTTCAGCAACTCTTGAAACTTTTACAGTATTTTGGTTTATGTTCACCACTATGCCTTTTGTAATTCTTGTATTTTATAATTTGTTAAGCTACTATGGGACTTATGTTGATATAGAAAATTCCTTTTTCTTCTTCTTTTCCTTTCTTTTTTGACACACAACTAATTTGTTGCTTATTTGATCACACCAAAACTGCCAAGTGTCTGCATGTGGAGACGTGTGATGAGTTAGCTTATATGTAACAACTGGGCAGTGTCATTCATTGTGAATTCATGGGAACATGATAGACATTTTCCTTAAATTTAACTGTCAGGTTCATCAGATGGGTGAATTGAATTCAGCTTCATATATTTACCAAGTTATGATATGTTGATTTATTATTTTTTTCCATGAATGGGCTAGACCAGGTCTACTTGAGAGGCAATGAAGGAGGCAATAGTAAAGTAAGTATTTAGTGTGAGTTACTTCAAAACTGTGTCTATTATATACCGTTAACTTGAAGAGAAAACTATCTTAGCAAGCACCCTTTTTTAAAAAAAAAAAAAATTAACTTTGAGTAGCAATTTTACTAAATTAAAAGTGATTTTCCCATATTTTATCATCTTCAGTTAATACAAAATAGTGGAATATTTTATAATCCTAATAATTTGTACATTAAAACTTTATTACTTTTATTAAAAGTTTATTACTACTATAAGTATTCCAATGGCAACTGTTGTTTATTCAATTCCTGCTTTTTTGTCCCTATAATAGATCAATTATTTTTGTTAACTAATCCATTGATTTGATTCCCTCATTAAAATAATCAAAAATTTCAGTTTAATTGAAGAAATTTAGTGCTTTATATTTAGTATCATGTAGTAATTATCTTTGCCTTTCAGGCCATCAACATTTTTTTTCCAGAATTGAATAGAATAAAAATATTTTAAATGCTATGCTTTTGACTCTTCTTTTTAGCCACTTTCATGAAATGCAAAGTTGATAGAATTTTTAAAGAACCTCTTTGACCAAATACTGCTGGAAGCAAAGATGCCAAAATGCCATCTTTTTTTTTTTTTTTTTTTTTTGAGGTGGAGTCTCGCTCTGTCGCCCAGGCTGGAGTGCAGTGGCGCAATCTCCACTCACTGCAAGCTCCGCCTCCTGGGTTCATGCCATTCTCCTGCCTCAGTCTCCCGCGTAGCTGGGACTACAGGCACCCGCCACCATGCCCGGCTAATTTTTTATATTCTTTTTAGTAGAGATGGGGTTTCACCGTGTTAGCCAGGATGGTCTCGATCTCCTGACCTTGTGATCCACCCGCCTCGGCCTCCCAAAGTGTTGGGATTACAAGCATGAGCCACCGCGCCCTGCCCATCTTTTTAAAAAAGCTCTTGAAATACCTTCTACTTAGGTATATATACCTGAAAATAAGAAGAAATAGAGAATCTTCGGAAACCTTCATATGAGTTTGAAACTCAGATGTAGCCCAAAATGTGCAGGTGATTATAAAATTTAAGCCCTTTTTAAAGTGTTTTTGTTTTAGCCTCTACAGTATTAATTAAGAAATCTGTTCAACGTCTGGGCAAGGCTTAAATATCTTTCATATTTCTATCAGCTGGAAATAAGAGAAAGAAATACATTACGTATGACACATTTTTCTACAAGATAAGAATGCAGAAATATTTTCTCTAACAGTATCTATTTTACAGAAAGAATATCAAGAGAAAGCAAGTTTTTTTTTTGCAATGGGGGAGATACCAAGATGACAGGCATGATAATATTCCTTCTGGTTTATTTCACAATTCTATCCTTTGCTAAAGCAATGTTTACCTTGATTTGGGGTTTCTCATCTTGTCTTCCTCTTCCTGGCTTGGCTTTAGCTTTTAAACTAAAAATAAAGATAAATGAAGGCAGAGAAGAATTTTTACTAGCAAGTGTTGCACAAGAAATAACTATAAGCTCATAAAGTTTTATCTTTTTTGACTTCTTGCAATTTGAAATGTAGTTAAAACATAAGGCAAGAGTTCATATCACGTCCCTGAAGCAAATACAGTGCTTTTCTACTTTCCTTCTTTGATAGAACTTATGTATTTTTAAACTTTAGTACACTAAAATTTTAAAAATCTTAAACTGATGTCTGCTTAGGATTCCCTTTACGAGTTTTGCAGAGGGACAAAGACTGCACACAGGAAACTTGGTACCACTTACTAATGCCACCAAATTAGATAATGTGTAACAGAATGTCCAACTTTTGAACAAACACCATTTCAACAAATACCAGATTTGAAGATAACCCCACTGAAATCTGAAATAAAATATTTCAAATCAGATAGAAGATTGTACATATAGTCTTGAGCTTAAAAAATCTGTAATATTTTAGTTTCAGATGCACTTTATAAGCTAAGATTTAAACATACTTTGGGCACTTAAGATCAAATTTTGGAATAATAGTATGGTAAGTTTCAATTTTTCCAAGTCAACTTGGACATTGCAAATACCAACTGAACTATCTATCATAAATATGTTCTGTTTTCTTGAAATGCATTAGGTTTTTAAAAAATGACACTACTCACAGTGGGAGAAAAAAATTTATAATCAATTTATGTGGGTAATATTAAGACAATAATATTAGAAATATTTTGCTATGCCGAGCTAATGTTTAGTAACTTTCTGCAAAGTCTGGGAAGTGTCTACTTTATACAAATCTAGGTAAATATAAAAATGTTGAAATAAAAAAGTCTTGTATACTTTTTATACTCTCTCCCTTGTATACTAGGGAGAAGTTGAACGGTCCATTAAACTTGTTAAGTCCTGTAAAATTTGCAATTTCTTGGCTAAAACACAACATGCCACTTGAGGTCATGCTTTCCAACTGAGCACTGACTCAGGGCTCAGAGCATGGTGCTTAAATGTCAATGGAGACAAGCCCTCTGACTGTGATCCTTATTGTCGTGATACAGTCTCATGTTCTGGATACTCCCATTCTTATAAAAAGCAACTCATGCTTATTTATTATGTAGGGGAGAAAACATAATTTCTTTTCTTTCCTTTTTAGGTTCTCTGTTGAGAGAGTTTCCTGAAAACAAACATTGGATTAACAAAAGAGACAAATGGAAGTTTATTAATGCATGCTGTACCCATCATGCAGGAGAGGCCTCAGTTCAAAAGCATTTCTCTCCCAAGGCAGTGACTTAGGGGACTTGCTTAAATAGTATTTCAACAAAGAACCATCAATCCGATATAGTAGAAAGACAAAGGAGAGAGCAGTTTCAGTCTTTCAAAAGGTAGGAAAATGTAGGAAGATAGTAAAATGTGTCTGCAATTTTTTCTGGTGCCTCCTGAAAACTTCTCTGGTGACTTCTCTGGGCTGATAAGCAAGTTCTGTCTTAAGGAAGGATTGATGGCCTGCTATCAGGCAAGCAGAGCCTGAGACAGAGTGTTCCCCTGTGTTTTCAGTGTTTGTAATTCAACAGTGCTCACTATTTTGGAGAGAAATATTTTGGTTTCCTTCAATCAAAATCTGAGAGTTCCTAATGTACAAATACTGTGCCTAATTCACTCTTTTATCTTCCCAAGGATCTCCATATAGCAGGGGGCTAATTTAGTGTTTGTTGAATTGAATTTATTTAAGGTAGGCTTTCTTCTCTCCTTACAATTTCACATCATGACTTTTACTGTTTTATTTGTTGTGTGTCTGCATTAGACCACCACTTACTGATTTTTGCACTACTTAATGGAAGCAGGACAGTAAAATTGCCTATGTGACTCTGAGCCTGAATCAGATAAATAGTAACATTTTGGAAAGTTCCAGGAAAGGGTAGGAAGCAGAAGAAATGTGCTGTCAGGGATTTTTCTGTCTACTAGGGGATTGGTGCAGCAGAAAAGAGCACAGGTATAGAAGTAAGATGGGCTTGTTTTCAAACTTCTGCCATTTCCTAGGAGGAATATGTCATCTTAACAAGGCTTACCCTTAGGAATGTTGGGAAGATGAAATAAAATGTTACACATAAAGCATCCAGGATAATGCCAAACGTACAAATGGTAGCTATTAAAATTTGAACCAGAAAGATTATGGTATTACAAAATAAGAGATTTCTTTTTAGGTCACATTGCTTGCTTAGAAATGACTCACCCTGTCAAAATAGGTTTCAATTGTCCCCTTTCACTTCAGTGACATGTGAAGAAAGCTGATCCCATCCAGAGAACTCAACCACCATGGAGAAGACAGCTGAGTACTCCACCATTACACAGAGCAACTCCCTGCCACTCTTAGGGTTGGTAAGCTATGCCAGAGCTTACATTGCTGATTAACATGATGTTAGAAGCAAGTAGCATCCCTTAGAAATCAATCAGTAAAGATAAAATCTTGAGAAATTCCTCTGATAAAAGACAAAGAGATATACATTGGCTTGTAAAATAGAATTCAACTGTAAAAGTAGCATACAAAAAAAAGATACAGATTAACAAATTTTTTAAAAGGCAGATAAAAATTCACAAGTCAAGTGCAAATGAAGGAAATCTCAAAATACAATTAAATGTGAAAGACATCACCCTTCCAGGAGGTGAAACTTAATGATTACTACCCTAAATCTTTAAATATGGACTGTTCTTAATGATTTGCTCCCAAAGAATCGAATATGAAGGAAGATTTAAAAAAGGAGGGAGAGGAAGGGGAAGAAATTTTATAGTGGAGAAAACTATCCAACACTATCTTGCCCAGGTATGAAGGATAACATCACCAATAATAAGTCATGTCTCCAGTCTAACCATGAGAAGAACGTCAGACAAACCTTTCTCTCTACTAAATAACTGATCACTGTTCCTTAAAACTTTCAAGACCACACACACACACACACACACACACACACACACACACACACACATATATATGTAGAGAGAGAGAGAGAGAGAGATCCCAGAAAATGAAACAAAAAGAACCTTGAAAAAAGATTAGACGAATTGCTCACTAGAGTAACCAGTTTAGAGAAGAACATAAATGAACTGATGGAGCTGAAAAACACAGCATGAGAACTTCGTGAAGCATACACAAGTATCAACAGCTGAATCAATTAAGCAGAAGAAAGGATATCAGAGACTGAAGATCAACTCAAAGAAATACAGTGAGAAGACAAGGTTATAGAAAAAAAGAGTGAAAAGAAACAATGACTCTGAGAAACATAGGACTATGTGAAAAGACAAAATCTATGTTTGATTGGTGTACCTGAAAGTAATGGAGAGAATGGAGCCAAGTTGGAAAATACTCTTCAGGATAATATCCAGGAGAACTTCCCCAACCTAGCAAGGCAAGCCAACATTCAAATTCAGAAAATACGGAGAACACCACAAAGATACTCCTTGAGAAGAGCAACCCCAAGACACATAATCATCAGATTTACCAAGGTTGAAATGAAGAAAAAAATGTTAAGGGCAGCCAGAGAGAAAGGTCAAGTTACCCACAAAGGGAAGCCCATCAGACTAATAGCAGATCTCTCAGCAGAAACCCTACAAGCCAGAAGAGAGAGGGGGCCAATATTCAACATTCTTAAAGAAAAACTTTTTGGACCAGTCACAGTGGCTCATGCCTGTAATCCCAGCACTTTGGGAGGCTGAGGTGGGCAGATCATGAGGTCAGGAGTTTGAGACCAGCCTAACCAACATGGTGAAACCCTGTCTCTACTAAAAATACAAAAATTAGCCGGGCATGGTGGCGCACACCTGTAATCCCAGCTACTCAGGAGGCTGAGGCAGAAGAATCGCTTGAACCCAGGAGGCGGATTTTGCGGTTAGCTGAGATCATGCCACTGCACTCCAGCCTGGGCCACAGAGTGAGACTCCATCTCAAGAAAGAAAAAAAAAAAAAAAGAATTTTCAAACCAGAATTTCATATTCAGCCAAACTAAGCTTCAAAAGCAAAGGAGAAATAAAATCCTTTAGAGTAAAGGAAATGCTGAGAGATTTTGTCACCACCAGGCCTGCCCTACATGAGCTCCTGAAGGAAGCACTAAACATGGAAAGGAACAACCGGTACCAGCCACTGCAAGAACATACCAACTTGTAAAGACCATCAATACTATGAAGAAACTGTAACAACTAATGGGCAAAATAACCAGCTAGCATCTTAATGGCAGAATCAAATTCACATACAACAATATTAACCTTAAATGTAAATGGGCTAAATGCCCCAATTAAAAGACACAGACTGGCAAATTGGACAAAGAGTCAAGACCCATTGGTGTGCTGTATTCAGGACACCTATCTGACATGCAAAGACACACATAGGCTCAAAATAAAGGGATGGAGAAATATTTACCATGCAAATGGAAAGCAAAAAAAGCATGGATTGCAATCCTAGTCTCTGATAAAACAGACTTTAATTCAACAAAGCTAAAAAGAAACAAAGAAGGTCATTACATAATGGTAAAGGGATCAATGCAACAAGAAGAGCTATCCTAAGTATATATGCACCCAATACAGGAGCACCCAGATTTCTAAAGCAAGTTCTTAGAGACCTACAAAGAGACTTAGACTCCCACATAATAATAGTAGGAGACTTTAACACCCTACTATCAGTATTAGACAGATCAATGAGACAGAAAATTAACAAGGATATCCAGGACTTGAACTCAGCTCTGGACCAAGCTGACCTAATAGACATCTACAGAACTCTCCACTCCAAATCAACAGAATATACATTCTTCTCAGCATCACATAATATTTATTCTAAAATTGACAACGTAATTGAAAATAAAACACTACTCAGAAAATGCAAAAGAACGGAAATCATAACAGTCTTTCAGACCACAGTGCAATCAAATTAGATCTCAGGATTAAAAAACTCACTCAAAACTGCACAACTACATGGAAACTAAACCACCTGCTCCTCAATAACTACTGGATAAATAATGAAATGAAGGCAGAAATAAAGATGTTCTTTGAAACCAATGAGAACAAAGACACAATGTGCCAGAATCTCTGGGACACATTTAAAGCAGTGTGTAGAGAGAAATTTATAGCACTAAATGCCCACAAGAGAAGGCAGAAAAGATCTAAAATCGACACCCTAACATCACAATAAAAAGAACTAGAGAAGAAAGCACAAACAAAATCAAAAGCTAGCAGAAGACAAGAAATACCTAAGATCAGAGCAGAACTGAAGGAGATAGAGACATGAAAGACCCTTCCAAAAATCAATGAATCCAGGAGCTGGTTTTTTGAAAAGATCAACAAAATAGATAGACCACTAGCCAGACCAATAAAGAAAACAAGAGAGAATAATCAAATAGATGCAATTAAAAATGATAAAGGGGATATCACCACCAATCCCACAGAAATACAAACTATCATCAGAGAATACTATAAACACCTCTATGCAAATAAGCTAGAAAATCTAGAAAAAAATGGATAAATTACTGGACTCATATACCCTCCCAAAACTAAACCGGGAAGAAGAAGAATCCCTGAGAAGGCCAAAAACAAGTTCTGAAATAGAGGCAGCAATTAATAGCTACCAACCAAATATAGTCCAGGACCAGACAGAGTCACAGCCGAATTCTACTGGAGATACAAAGAGGAGATGGTACCATTCTTTCTAAAACTATTCCAAACCACAGAAAAAGAAGGACTCCTCCCTAACTCATTTTATGAGGCCAGCATCATCCTGATACCAAAACCTGGCAGAGACACAACAAAAAAGGAAAATTTCAGGCCAATATCCCTGATGAAATCGATGTGAAAATCCTCAGTAAAATACTGGTAAAGATAATCCAGCAACACAGCAAAAAGCTTATCCACCACAATCAAGTCAGCTTCATCTCTGGGATGCAAGGCTGGTTCAACATATGCAAATCAATAAACGTAATCCATCAGATAAGCAGAACCAATGACAAAAACCACACGATTATCTCAATAGATGCAGAAAAGGCCTTTGATAAAATTCAACTGCCCTTCATGCTAAAAACTCTCAACAAACTAGGCAGTGATGGAATGTATCCCAAAATAATAAGAGCTATTTATGACAAACCCACAGCCAGTATCATACCGAATGGGCAAAAACTGGATTCCCTTTGAAAACCGGCACAAGGATGCCCCTTCTCACCACTCCTATTCAACATAGTGTTGGAAGTTCTGGCAAGGGCAATCAGGCAAGATAAAGAAATAAAGAATATTCAATTAGGAAAAGAGGAAGTCAAATTGTCTCTGTTTGCAGATGACATGATTGTATATTTAGAAAACCCCAAGGTCTCAGCCCATAATCTTCTCAAGCAGATAAACAACTTGCAGCAAAGTCTCAGGATACAAAATCAATGTGCAAACAATCACAAGCATTCCTATACACCAAAAATAGACAAACAGAGAGCCAAATCATGAGTGAACTCCCATTCACAATTGGTACAAAGAGAATAAAACACCTAGGAATACAACTTACAAGGGATATGAAGGACCTATCCAAGGAGAACTACAAACCACTGCTCACGGAAAGAAGAGAGGACACAAACAAATGGAAAAACATTCCATGTTGATGGATAGGAAGAATCAGTATCATGGAAATGGCCATACTGCCCAAAGTAATTTATAGATTCAATGCTATCCCCATCAAGCTACCATTGACATTCTTCACAGAATTGGAAAAAACTACTTTACATTTTATATGGAACCAAAAAAGAGCCTGCATAATCAAGACAATCCTAAGCAAAAAACAAAGCTGCAGTCATCACACTACCTGACTTCAAACTATACTACAATGCTACAGTAACCAAAACAGCATGGTATTGGTACCAAACAGATATACAGATCAATGGAACAGAATAGAGGCCTCAGAAACAATGTCACACATCTACCAACATCTGATTTTTGACAAACCTGACCAAAACAAGCAATAGGGAAAGGATTCTGTATTTAATAAATGGTGTTGGGAAAACTGGCTAGCCATATGCAGAAAGCTGAAACTGGATCCTTTCCTTACATCTTATACAAAAAATTAACTCAAGATGGATTAAAGATGGATTAAAGACTTAAATGTAGACCAAAACCCATAAAAACCCTACAAGAAAAATTAGGCAATACCATTCAGGACATAGGCATGGGCAAAGACTTCATTACTAAAACACCAAAAGCAATGGCAACAGAAGCCAAAATTGACAAAAGTATAATTTTAAAAATTAAAAAAAAGAATTTTAAAGTTAATAATGATTATGCTTTAATGAAATAGACACAAGATCACAATAATGAAAAACACATAAAAGATGATTCAAATTTAGTTTAAAATACACATGAACTAAAATTCAGGAGGAAATTTTCAAAATGTTAACATTTTTATCTCTGTGTGATGTGATTATGGATGACTTTTATGTCCTTTTTTCTATTTAGTTTCTTCCCCCACAGTAAGAATATTACTTAAATTAACAGAAAGCCAAAAAAAAAAAAAAAAACCACAATAAAAATGAGCTTAAAAGATGTGGTACTGAAAGATTTTTCTTTGAACAGTTGCACAAGCAAAGACAGTACTTAGTAGTAAAGCCTCTAAGGAAAAAGTGGACATCTCAGCACAGATGGCAGGATAAAAATGTAATATGGGGAGCACAAAAAATATGCAGACTGAATCAAAACAGAGACAATTCCCTTAGGTAGGTGGGCTTTTAAAAATTGGGCACAGAAACCATTTATCCATACCGGATCTTGCCCAGAAGCATTGAAAGAAAAACAATGGAAGACAATGGTGGAGGTTTGGGAAGAAGAGAATGAGAAGCCAATGCCCTGCTGCCTGCTACCCTTTATCCACACCTGCCTCTCTCCTCTGCCCCAGGGCCCCCAGCAGCAGGCTCTGCAGATGCATTAGGTCCAGGCAACACAATTTGAAAAATCAACAAAATCATCTTAGGTTAGATCTACTATCAATCACTCTCTAGTAAAGATGAGCTGGAAATTATCAGAATCCACAGTATAATCTTTGTGATTTACTACATAAGAAAATTTAAGAAAACTTATGCTATTCTCATGACACTAAAGCTTGGTTTATTAATTCTCCACAATTTTATTTGTCCTGTCTGTTAAAACCTTATTTAAAAAATATTATTCAGGGCCAGGTGCGGTGGCACATGCATGCCTGTAATCCCAGCACTTTGGGAGGCCAAGGTGGGCGGATCGCCTGAAGTCAGGAGTTTGAGACCAGCCTGGCCAACATGGTAAAACCCTGTCTCTACTAAAAATACAAAAATTAGCCAGGGGTGGTGTCATGCACTTGTAATCCCAACTACTCAGGAGGCTGAGGCAGGAGAATCACTTAAACCTGGGAGACGGAGGTTGCAGTGAGCCAAGATCGTGCCATTGCACTCCAGCCTGGGTGACAGGAGCAAGACTTCATCTCAAAAAAAAAAAAAATATTCAGCTGGCTGTGGTGGGGTGGCTCACACCTGTATTCCCAACACTTTGAGAGGCCAAGGCAGAAGGATTGCTTGAGTCCAGGAGCTCAAAAACATCCTGGGCAACATAGAGAGACCCCATCTCTACAAAAAATTAAAAAATTAGCCAGACATGGTGCTGTGCACCTGTGGTCCCTGCTACTCAGGAGACTGAGGTGGGAGGGAGGATTGTTGGACTACAGGAATTTGAGGCTGCAGTGGGCTATAACCACACCACTGCATTCTAGCCTGGGCAACAGTGAGACCCTGTCTCAAAAAAATAAATTTAAAAATTTATATATATATTATTCTAGCATTTATAGCTACTTGTTACTTATTATTATTATTAGCATTTATAGGTACTTGGCCTAGAAGGATGCTTTCTGATCGTTAGAGTTACCCAGAGTAAGAAAAACAGAAAGTATACATGTGAGTGAATCTGACAAAAGCTGTAGGACTGAGATGTCGAGTCAGTTTTGGCTTAAGCACACTTGGCTGTACTTGACATGAAAGGAAAAAGAGTTCTTCCTGTGTCTGGCCACAGTGAGCCTGGACAAGGTTGTATAATGATGGCAGCAATAAGAGCAGCAGCATGAACCCAGTCACATTGTATCAAAGCTGAGCTTAATCTAGCAACTGCAGCTGCAGTGAGCAGAGGCTTGGAGAGAACTCAAGCACTTGGTTAGATCTTACTTACTGAATCTATTAAAACTTTACAGAGATTTCAACAGCTGGCCTTTCCTCATTATGGTACCAATTGCTGCAGTAGAAATAAATGTGGACATCTCTCTCAATTGTATGGGAAACAATTGCTGCCCAATGTGTAACCATTAGCCACACCCTGCGATTAAGCTCTCAAATTTTGGCTAGTTTGAATTGAAGTGTAAAGTACACATCAGATTGCAAAGACTTAGTATAGGAAAAACATGTAAAATATCTCAATAATTTTCATATTGATTACATGTTGAAATGACTGTTTTGATATTTTAAGCTAAATAAAATATATTGGAACAATACACTCAGGATGGATAAAGTTGACCCGAAGGAACCAAAGGGCAAGATGTCTGCCTATGCCTTCTTTGTGCAGATGGGCAGAGAAGAACATAAAAAGAAAAATCTAGAGTTCCCTATTAATTTTACAGAATTTTCCAAGAATTGCTCTGAGAGGTGGAAGACGATGTCTGGGAAAGAGAAGTCTAAATTTGACGAAATGGCGAAGGCAGATAAGTACACTATGATTGGGAGATAAAGAATTAAGAACCAGCTAAGGGAGGCAAGAAGAAGAACCCTAACGCCCCCAAAAGGCCACCATCTGGATTCTTCCTTTTCTATTCAGAATTCTGCCACAAGATCAAATCCACAAACCCTGACATCTCTATTGGAGACATGTCAAAAAGCTGGGTGAGATGTGGAATAACTTAAATGACAGTGAAAAGCAGCCTTACATCACTAAGGTGGCACAGCTGAAGAAGTATGAGAAGGATGTTGCTGACTGTAAGTCTAAAGGAAAGTTTGATGGCCCAAAGGGTTCCACTAAAGTTGCCTGGAAAAAGGTGGAAGAGGACAACAAAGAAAATGAGGAGGATGGAAAATAAGGAGGAGGGAGAGGAGTAAAAAATTTAAAAAACTGTTTGTCTCCTTGTGAATACCTTAGAGCAACAGTCTCCAACCTTTTTGGAACCAGGGACCAGTTTTGTGGGACAGTTTTTCCATGGATGGGTTGGGAGATGGTCTTTGGGATGATTCACGCACAGTACATTTATTGTGCACTTTATTTCTATTATTATTACATTGTAATATATAATGAAATAATTATATGACTCACCATAACGTAGAATCAGTGGGAGCCCAGAGCTTGTTTTCCTTCAACTAGACAGTCTTTCTGGGGGTGATGGGAGGCAGTGACAGATCATCAGGCATTAGTTAGATTCTCATAAGAAGCAGGTAAACTAGATCCCTCGTATGCACAGTTTACAACAGGGTTTGCTCTCCTATGAGAGCTGCTGCTGATCTGACAGGAGGCGGAGCTCAGATGGTAATGTGAGCCATGGGGAGTGGTTGTAAATACAGATGAAGCTTTGCTCACTTGCCACTCACCTCCTGCTGTGTGGCCTGGTTCCTAACAGGCCACTGACTGGTATCTATCTATGGCCCAGGGGTTGGGGACACCTGCCTTGAAGTAGGGGAGAGCTGTAATTGACACATCTCTTATTTGAGAAGTATCTGTTGCCCTCATTAGTTTTAATTACAAAGTTTGATTATGATCATATTGTTGTTTCTCAAACTAGAAACTCTTTACATGAAGTGGTCAAGTGGGTCTAGAGCACCCTGAAACTATATCAAAGTTGTACATATTTCCAAATATTTTTAAAATGAAAAGGCAACTTCATGCTCTCCTCACTCTGTGTGCTTTGCTGTTAGTGTGATAAGGCATTTAAAGGTGCTTCTGGCATTTTTTTTTTTTTAATTTGTAAGGTAGTGTTAACTACATGGTTATTAGCTAGAAATCCTGAGTTATCAATTGCATATATCCATAGTTTGTAAAACGAACAAAACAACCAAGACAAACTCTTGATGCTCTTTGCTTGATGTTGAGGCTGTGGTAGAAGATGCCTCTGGGAGTGGCCGTAGCTCAGGCTGTGCACTGTGAGGCTGGGCCTGTTGACTATGCACTGGGCATCCATTTAGCTTCAGGTTGTCTTGTTTCTGTATCTAACCACATAGCATTCTGCTACCATTCCTAGCTGTGAACAAAAGGTGGTCAGCTGGCTTGAAAAGTATTTACTTTTTGTTTTTGCTTTTTTTTCAGTTAAGTGTGGTAGTTTTTAAACCATTTGTTTTTAAAGAAAGTGTAGAACATTTCATTGTCAACAAAGCGAAGAGCCACTGCATCAATGAAAGTTCAAGAACCTTCTGTACTTAAACATGATCTCCAACACTCTGTTTTTTTGTATGTTTAGAATGCTGAAATATTTTTAAAATTAAATAAACAGCATTACATTTTAATAATACATTACTAAAACTATTTTCAACATTTCTCTTACCTTTTTTTAAATGTGGATACTAGAAAATTTTAAATTACACATGTGGCTTATATTTAAGAAACTGGCATTAAGTTTCTACTGGACAGCACTGCTACAGAGCAAACAGAACTGGGACTGCTGTTGTTAGGCCCTCAGGTCTTATTTGGGATTTTTGCGGAGGGAGGATTCCTTGTTTTACGAATGGAGAGAACACAGCCCCATCCTTTTGAGTTCTTGACATTTCAACTGGGGTTTATGTTTCTTTGTGAAAGCAGGAAATACCAGTTACATTCCATAATAAATGATGGAGATGTGGACTAACCCAAAAATGAACACAGAGTGAGCCTTTTGTTGGCTTGTGCAATGGTTAGAAACTGCATTGAGTCTTTTGATCAAACCAATTCTGTTTTCTTGCCCATATGAAAAGGAGAAAATTATTTAAACAGATTTCAAAAAAGGAATGTGGATATTGACCATCAAAATGAGCCTAGGAATGCACCATATCATTGACAGCTAGTCTGAACTTTTATCTAGGGATATGTCCTCTTTTATTTAGGTCTAAACTTCTATGCAGAATACTTTTCTCTGAAATTGAAGATTAATCTTCTGAAGCCTATGAATTCTAACATAGCATTAAATTACATATTTCTTCAAGAGTGTCTTCATTCATCATTTACATATATTTTGAGAGTCTGAGTAACATGACAGTAGATTCTAAGATGGAGTTTACATTATACAGTCCCATACTTCAAGGGCCTTAGCATTTTCATTTGTTTATTCAACAGATATTTATTGAGCACTTACTATGTGCCAGGCAGTCTACCAGGCATTAGGGGTGCAATAGGAATCAAAAATAGAATAAGATCACTGATCTACAAATTACAGCCTACTGTGGGAGGTAGACATTTATCAAATAATCACATGTGAGAGATCTCAGAAGCAGGGAGCAGGGAGAATTCAAAGCTCAAGTGGAAGGATGAATTGTAGACAGGAGGAAGTACGGCTCCTCCGAATGTAACAGGAGAAGTGATTCCCCGAATCCAGTTGGCTGCAAAACAAGTTAATGTGTTTGATATAAAGTGTGTGAGAAGAGAGCAAAACTAGCTGGAATGCTTAGTATATTATTTTATAACTCATCATCTAGGCATGGCTAGTTACTCAAGGTAAGGTTTAATTTAAGATAATGTCCGGGATTTAGAAATAGACTCATCTGTTAGTAAATTGCAGCTTTGGGGTGGCAGGACACATCAATAACAGTAGAAGGAGATACTTGGCAGTAGAGACAGGCTTGTCATCACCATCTAGGAAATCTATAATGTACAAAGACTGGGCTTCTGTACTGGCAGAAACCCTTCAGCAGGTCTAAGCAGCAAGGCAGGATAACATTGCAAAAACTCAAAACATAGGTCAAGATAGAATTCTAGTATCTTGAATTGAGCATACAGAATGTGAGGACATGGGGAGTTGGAGGACAGAGATAATGACACTCAAGATAAAAACTCAGGTTTAGGAGTATTCTTATCAGAAATATTCAGGAAAAAGCCTTTATTTGGAGAACACTGTGGCAGTCCAGTGGCCAGGACTGGCCATAACCTGGGGTAGATTAGCAAGTGTAATCAGTGCTGCAATACCATGGGCAGGATTAGCCTGTTAGGGAGCAAGGCTTACTCCCAAGTTCCCCAAGGATGTGGAACTTTAAATAGGTTTTGAAGGAGACTCGTGATTTAGAAAGTTCGAGGTTGGTAAGAATGGTCAATGCCATGTGTAATAAATGCATTGTCACTTATATTCTTATAACATTTGTAATATCTCATATATAAATATATTTGTAATATAAAACATACAATATAGGGTTTATATTTTTAATATACAAATCAAGATTGTAAAATATATAGTTTATATTTTCTAAATATGTATTTTCTAAACCATATATATACACATACATAGCTTAATAAGTATTCAAATTTGGAGTAAAAATTATTCATAAAGGCATTTTAATAATTTTAAAATTATTCATTATTATTAGGGTAATTTTTGATAACACAGCTATCACTAGTTTAATGATACATCTTCCTTAGCTATGATTTTACACACAAAAGACTTCTTCAGTAAAGTGAAGTTCTTTAGGTAACTGGGGATGCTGTGAGGCACCCAAGAGTGGAGATTCATCCTGTTGCCCCCATCCCATTTTCAACTCTCCCACTGCTCTCCACCCACCACGCATTAGCAAAGTACACTGGACCTTTGTCATAAGCCTCTTCACAGGGGTATGAAAGCCAGAGGGAGAGAGAAAGAGGATGAGAGGGAGAAGGGTATATTAACCATGTCGCCTGCTTCTGTAAGCTTGATGCTTTATCTATCCTACATGCATATGCCAGATACATCAAATTCTGGACAACCTGATAATATGCCTGAGTCATCTTGCCTTAGCCTCCTGCCTCCTTTGTCCCCGCTCTTGTCAAAGGGGTTTCTCCTCCCCAGTGGCACACTATTCAAATACAAATGAACCAATTCAGAGTCTATACCCTCAACCACCTCCCTTATCTCACACTCCAAGCCACTATACACCTGCTGAAATTCACCCCAGGGCTAGATGCCAGACAACTAGGGACAACCCCCATACCCCAGAACTTGCTGGAATTTTCAAGCTCTCCCATTCTAAGCCTGATTGCCCTGCCTTGCCCATTTTCCCCATAGAAACTATGGTGAAGGCTCGTGGGCACCAGTTTTCCCCTCTCCCTCTGCTTTGGGACCAACCCTGGCGCTTCCCTATGCGGCCTCTGTGGCATGACCTGTACTCCTTCTCTTGGGATCTGAGAGTATAATAAACTACCTTTTCAATGGCAGTTATCTCCTGGTCTGTTGGTTTTACTATGCCTTAATAGCAATAAAGCCAAAAGGAGATAGGAAGAAGGACAAGGGGCATAGTTAATGACTGATTCTAGTTACTTTAGTTGATAATCTGCATGTTATCTGCTGTTGCACCTGAGCAGGGCAAGACGGTTGTCTCCCCTCAAAGTCACAAAACAACAGATCCAAGAAGTTCAGAGGACACCAACCAGGATGAGCATAAAAATATTTATACTTTGATATATCACATTCAAGATGCAGGAAAACAAAGACATAAAGCTAAATCCTGAAATAGAATGGAGTGAAGGACTAAGGAAAATTCTCAGGCATCTCTGTGGGTGGCACCTTTGAGATAGAAAAAACAGGTGAGAAAAGCTTCCATGCTGAATTCAGCCCTACATTCTTTCTTATTTCTCTATAACCTTCTCCACAGAATCTGCCAGTACCCAGATCCAGGCTTTATTTGAAAACTGGATTCCTACATCAATGTTTTCCTTAAATCTGATGAATTCATTTTTTCATTTTCCTCTTCTTATACAGCTTGAGTACTGCTCCATAACACTTTTTAAAATATTACTAGCTGGACACAGTGGTTCACGCCTATAATCGCAAAACTTTGGAAGGCTGAGGTGGGAGGACCACTTGAGCTCAGGAGTTCAAGACCAGCCTGGAAAACATAGGGAGACTCCATCTCTCCATAAAAAAATTAAAATTAAAAATTAGCTATTCATGATGGTGTGTTCCTGTAGTCCCAGCTACTCAGGAGGCTGAGGTGGGAGGATTGTTTGAAGACAGGAGTTCAAGGCTGCAGTGCTATGATTGGGCCACTGCACTCCAGCCTGGGTGACAGTGAGAACCTATCTCAAAAATAATAATAATAATAAAAATAAAAATAATATCACTTCTAGGTTTTGTTTTTTTCCTCTGTCACTGATTTTTTACTCCTTTGGGTACTAAAACATTTTTAAATAATAAGGTAATGTGGTTTTCTTGCAGAAGACTAAGAAAGTTGAAACAAAGTCATCTATGATCCTATAGTCCAAAGTTATCCACTGTTAGAAAGTGATGTTTTCCAGTGTATTTCTCTGTCTAGACATGACCATACCTCTTCTGTCTCGAAGTGTAACACATGCTATTTTACACCTCTGAAATACTCTTTCCTCCCATTTTATGTGCTTTCAGCAACAGTAGCGGAGCATGGTGGTATGAACTAAAAAGAGCTATCACCTTGGCACATAATACAGGACACCCCTATGGCCTGGCATGTATATATAACAGCGAGAATACCTCAGCGATGGCACACACCCACTGTCCATCAATCTGCAGGCTCAGGTCTTAACATCAACATTGTGTGCCAGGGAACAGCAATGGCAGAAGCAGTCTAATTGGGCAGATAGTTTCCTTTCTGTTTAGTGTTGGAATCAGGACAAGTGTCACCCTTCCTAGGGTTCTTGGATTTTTCTTCTTCTTCTTTTTTTTTGTTTTTTTTGTTTTTGTTTTTTTTCTTCTTCTTCTTTTTTTTGCCTAGCAGGGAAAGCGAAGTTGGGTCTTAAAGAAAGATATCATTTTATTTTGTTTTGTTTTGTTTTCTAAAAAGAGGTACAGGGGAGTAAATGATTGATTGGTGGAGGTAGGGTGGAGATGACTATATTATAACCATATTTGTGTCCTTAACTTTGAAACAAGTCATGCCGGTTCCTAGTCTGTGCATGCTCTTGTATCTGTAGGATGCATTTTTAAAAGCCAAATGACTATCCCATCAAAACCTAAGCCAAGTGCGATTTTGCCTAGTTTTGCCTTTAAAAACAAAACAGATTTTTCACTACTTTCCAATGCAAGCACTAGCTTAATAAACTAGCAAAAATTGGGAGACTTCCTTTCTTTCTTCAAATGCTTCTTAACTTCATTTATTCATCTGGGCTAAATTTTTTGTGACTTTTAGAATTACAAAAGAAAACACATAACCCTTCATTAAACAGACTCACCAAATAACACTTCAATCAAGAATAAAGCCAGTATTATGGTAAACAAGCCATGATATATAATATGCCTAATTAACTTCAGTAGATGCAATTATAAAAGATCTCTTTCATAACTCTGGTTGATAAATGAAATGGACAGTTTTCTATAAAGAGGCTACAAAAAAATAAATAAAATTTAAAAAATTTTAATAACTGTCATTGTGGAAGGAAAAACCACAAGATATTAGAACTCTTTAATAGAGCCTCTTGTTTTCTAGTGAATTTTCACAACTATATTGCCTTTTTTGTAAGCTGTGATAGTATAACTTATTTTACCCCGAGGCTATCACAGTAAAAAGGATACTTTTTTTCTCATGAAAAAGTACAACACAGCTAAGATTTTCATGGTGTACCTAGTCGTACACTAAAAAAAAAAAAAAAAAAAAAAAATCATGTTCTTAATTATCTACAATTCTAGGAAGAAAAGCAACTACTGTGATTACTCAGGGAACAGAAAATCCTCTCCGTGTTCCTTCTAAACAACATTGCATAAGATATAAAGAAGAAAACATCTATTTTATTTTGAAATAAGTATCAAAAGAGCTTGCCTGGTGGGATTATAAAAGAGTTCAGTTGGGCTGAGAGTTGCTTAAGCTGGAAGTGCCACACTGCTAGGGAGGGAAGAGAAAGAACAGCAATCCTTTCAGAGGACTACAGGGCAGTGCTGTGAGCCTGAGAGGCTGCATTCAGCTACTGGCTGAAACAAAGGCAGAGCCAGAGCCACACTCTTAAGTGGAGGGAGAGTGAATAAAGAAAATGCCTGGCATTCAAAAGCTGCCTCTCAACTGGGATTCAGGATTGTCCTTTTCGGTTTCCAGGCATCAAGGAATCTACAAATGTTTGGAAAATATGTATACTTTTGAGGTGAGCTGAATATGGCTGGGACTTCTGCTTATCTGGTCTTCAATCTCCAATCTCCTCAATTAGAAGAGGAAAAATAAAACAGACAGAATGAAAAAGATTGCCAAGAGGGAAGTTTCCGCTTTAAAAAAAAAAAAAAAATATATATATATATGGATTGTAATAGAGGTCAAAACTGAGCTTGAACCTCCAAAGTATTGGGATAAGGCTGTGCACTGTGGCTCATGCCTGTAATCCCAGCACTTAGGGAGGCCAAGGCAGGAGGATTTCTTGAGACCAGGAGATCGAGACCAGCCTAGGCAATAAGTGAGACCTCATCTCTACAGAAAATTTAAAAATTATCAAGGTGTGGCTGCACTGGCCTGTAGTCCCAGATACTGAGGAGGCTAAGGCAGGATAATCTTTTGAGCCCAGGAAGTTAAGGCTACAGTGAGCTGTGATTGCACCACTACACTCCAGCCTGGGTGACAGAGTGAGATTTTGTCTCCAAAAAAAAAAGCAAGAAAGAAAAAGAAAGAAACAAAGAAAGAAAAGAAACAATGGTAGGTGTGCTCCTGATTTTGTTCAGTGTTGCCCAATAACAATCCCTTGTTGAAGTCTTGCCCATGTCTACCTCTGCCATAAGACTTTCCCAGGCATCTCAGCTCAAAGTGATCTAGATTCATAGCACTTATTGCTAGTATTGCACATATGGCACCAAATACTTATGGCCTTGAATTTTCATTGGGATATGTTGGATTCGAATTGACTTTGAAATATTCTAAAGGAGAATTCCAGCAGAAAATTGTGAGCTTAAGTCTGTCACTCAGGAAGGGTGCAGTCTAGAGATATAGAGCTATAAAGGTGAAAATCTTCAGAAAATAGGTGGTAACTGAAACCAGAAGAAAGAACAGGTGTACCTAAATAAAGGTCTGTAAAATGAGGAAAGAAAGTTCGAAAAGAATTCTTAAGAACGTCATTACTTAAGAAGTACATAGTAGAAAAATTAGTGAAAGATAATTGTAAGACGTCAGAACGAATGGTTAAGATGGAAGAAAGAATGGTTGCTTTATGCGGGCTTTTAGTTTCCCCAAAGAGCGAGGTATTGTATTGGTGATTTTTGCATTTTCCAGAACACCTATCATAATTTCATGCATGTAGTATGCCCTCAATATTTATTGAACAAGACGTGAGGAATAAATATATATAAATATTGTTCTTAGTTCTCCTTTGATTGTTCTTTTCTTAGCATCAGCAACACCAGTACCACTCCTATTCCAGCGTATTTATCTCACCTTTCAGAAGATACTGAGTAACAGCAGGGGGCCTGTTAATGGAGGACTCTGACCTCTAGGGGGAGCTCAAGGAGAGGAATACTGAATGAGGGTCCAGACACAGTCCTCACTGGGTCATTGTAGTAGCAGATCGAGCTTTGGGTGAATTAGGAAGGGCTAAGAAGGCCCTGCTTCCACATAGCTCAATCTTTAGTTCTTTTGAAATCATACCTCTCTTTAAATGTCACATGACAGTAAGCGGATCTAGGCTTAAGTCCCACGTGGAAAAACTTTCCTAACATGGACAACCTAAACAAAATTCCAGATAGGATCTATGGGTTAAAGTAATGGCCAAAAAACTATATATAGCCACTGAAATGTTTGGCCCAAGGTGTGTGCGTACGTTCAATAATTTGAATAACTTTGGAACAGGCATAAATGTACCACTCTGCCACAGCCCTAACACTTCTTTCATCTAATACCTGCCCCACTTCACAAATTTGTTTCTTACCTTGTTGGTCTATATAGGAATTTGAATTTGCAAATATTGTTTAAATTTATAAAAGTATATTTTTCCAGGTTACATTCTCCAAACTTTCATGGTTAAGATGTAAGTGTTCAATGTCTCCTAAATTCCTGCATTCCTCACCAGAAAAACAACAAATTGAATTCCTTTCTCTGAAGACTTGTTTGATTCCACATAGGGGAGCTTGGCAGAACAGGCAGATGATTGTGTGCACAGGCCACAGAAATTGCGCAGTCTGTCCTAACTCTTTTGCTTTGGGGTTCTTTAACTTCCCTTATTGTATCTACCTCAGCAGAGTTGAAATTATGGGAGTATCCCTCTTGAAGAGAATAAATCTGAATCCTTCTTTTGGTTGTGAATCACTATTGTCACCAAAAATGCAATAGAAAAGACAAATAAGAGCTGAAAACAAAGTATCCAGGACTACGTGTGGGTCCAACCTTGTTTTTCTTACACTTGAAAAGAAAATAAAGTGTACTGAAGTGAAAGCCCTTCTCCATAGTTCTATGATCAGATCCAAGGCAGGAGACTTCACATCTCGCACAAATGAGTGTTCCAAAGCAGGAGGGATTAGACAACCACCACGAAGCCGGCACACTGCCACTGGGCTGGATTTCCCAGGGTAGGAAAAAATCTCTTCTGCTATCCTAAAAGCACAAATATTTCAAGTCTCACCATGGGTAGCCAAGAAAATAGAGTAGAAAAGAGTCTTCCAAACCGTAAACCACCTATTTGTTTGAGGCATATTTTACAAGCTCAAGGAATCCACTGTTTATCTTATCAATACAATCAGAAAAACAATTCAAGAAATGTCTACCATATGTTGGGCTCTGCACCTGCACAGAGGTATAAGACAAGGACTCTGCCTTCAAAAGCAGATAGTCTAACATTGCTGGCAAATGTGGGTGGATTTCCTGTCTCCAGCCTGATCTACAGCAGTGTTTTGTTTTGAAATCCATTTACTTGAGAGCATTATGAACCAATTCATTGGTCGTAAGCTCTATAGTAAGAATAACATATAATATTAGTTCCCAGGTATGAGACATTCCAGGCATATTTTATAAGGGTGATTTTCAGGGTCCCATGGCAAAGATTTTAAATGGATTTGATCAAAAGTCAAAAGGAGCCTTTTCACATGCTCTTGCTAAGGAACTTGGCATTGCGACTGTACCTAATTGAAATGCTTTGTTGGCTGAAGTGTGCTGGCTTCACGCCCAATCACAGGACCCCTTGGAACAATTAGTAAGGCCATTAGTTTGCATGCCTAATCCCAAGTGACCTTGTATGAGTCTCCCCCTGTCTTGGGATTTGCAGGTCCCATGGTTCAGTCCCACGGGAGAGTGAGATGTTAATCCTGCTCTTTTCTCTCTCTCATCCTTACAGATTGCCACAGGCCACTGACTGTCCTATAAATGGAGATTGAGTCTTTTTTTTTTAACTACTTGACAGTAAAGCCTACATCAGAACATGTTAAAACTACAGGTGTTATTAACTTTGAACATCAATCTCACTATAATTTTTACTTTTGGCCTTGATAATAACACCTTCTCCCTTTTTATTTACTTTTTATTTTATTTTAATTTTTTGAGGCAGGATCTCATTATATTGCCCAGGCTGGAGTTCAGTAGCTCAAATACAGCTCACTGCAGCCTTGACCTCCCAGGCTCAACTGATCCTTGTGCGTCAGCCTCCCATGTAGCTGGAACTGCAGGTGCATGCCACCATGCACAGCTAATCTTTTTATTGTTTTGTAGAGACAGTCTCACTCTGTTGCCCAGGCTAGTCTCAGACTCTTGGGCTAAGTGATCCTTCTGCCTCGGCCTCCCACAGTGCTGGGATTATCATAGCATTGGGATTACAGGCATGAGCCATTATACCTGGTCTCCCTCCCTTTTTAAAAGAAGCTTTATTAAGACATGCCTCAACTATAGTTGGTCTAAATGCTATAAATTAATTTTAATTTTTCATTAATTATTTCTTCTTATTAAAGTCTTATTACACATTGGATTTGTACTTTTAGTGGCTGCAGAGTGACTAACCAAGTGAAGTAACTAAATGTCTTAAATACGCCTAGTGTATTACTTAATCCCTCAGAAAGTAACTTTATATTTTTGTCTTTAATAAAGCAAAAGCAGGCTGGGCACAGTGCTCACATGTGTAATCCCAGCACTTTTGGAGTCCAAGGTGGGTGGATTGCTTGAGCCTCAGGAGTCTCAGACCTGCCTGAGGAACATGGCAAAATTCCATCTCTACTAAAAATACATACGTTTACATTAGCTGAGCATGGTGACACACATCTGTAATCCCAGCTACAAGGGAGACTGAGGCACCGGCATCACTTGAACCCTGGAGGTTGCAGTGAGCTGAGATCATGCCACTGCACTCTAGCTTGGGTGACAGAGGGAGACTCCATCTCAAAAAATACATAAATAAATAAAAAATTAAAAAGCAAAAGTGAAACAGAGAAACAAACAAAAAGACCAATACAGAAGCCTTTAAAAGCAATTTTAAAAAGTTTTCTATAAGTAAAAGTAAATCCTGGGCCAATATAAATTATCTAAACCTCATTCCTCTATTGTTACGGACTGGCTTTGACAATTCCCTCTGGCCAAATTATTTCCAGTTCTATAGAAAATAGTTTTAGAAAATTAACTTAGAAGAAGCAGAGGAAACAGTTCTCAAAATAAATGTGTATGATTGTATAAGATAATTAGCAGACGCATTGTAGTAAAATTGTAGGTTCAAAGTGACGGGAGCTGACTTTAAAACAGGGTTCTCAAGGATCTCTTTGATGAGAAAATTCTCTCTCCCTGAAGCCTGATGGGGGTTAGAGAAGTTTGACTCACTATTTTCCTTCTGGGAACTGAATGGAGCCATGTGATAGTGACCACTGGCATAGAGATTCGCTGCCATAAATTTCAGATATGGATATGAACTGTCATGAATTAGACCTGTTTAAAACTTGTGAGGAAGGGGTCCCAATTTAAGATCAACTGGGAAGCATGGGTTTGAGAAGAAAAAAGTGAAAATTATGTCATGATATTTCAAGTAGAATTAAAATTACTGGTTTCCATGAACACGTCTTTCTTAAAAATATATTTAAACATTTATTTAACCTGAAACAAACGCAGAAATGGCAGGTACTTTATTTTCCTGCAACAAATAACCACAGTTTTCCCTGCAATATTCAAAACTCATTATTTGTGCAATAGCTGGTAGACTTACTTCACTTAGAACCCCCTTCACTCCCCAATCTGCTAATAGAACCCGACTTGTTCCCCACTCTTTGCCCCACCTTCCCCCACCTGTAAAGGGCTAAGTTTGAACCAAATACGGGTCACGAAGACCTGTACATCATTAGAGAGACTTCATATTACTAGCTCCAAAAGCCTAGCTTTGTAGCCAAGTTTCTGTGGTCTACATGCATCAATCTTTGCTATTTGTAATACAAATTAAGTATTGTTCTTATTTTAGTGCTAAATTTTAAAAGATGTCTCAGTTTGGTAGAAAAAAATCAAATCAAAATCAGTAAGGAAAATCTAGTTTCTTTATTGAAATGGACATAGGAGAAACTAACTAAATGCTTATTGAATGTTAAAAAACAAAAAAGCTAAATAATACCATAAATGTTTTCTCCTTTTGGGTAATATAATCAGGAGTAGTAACATAAGAAAGACTCTATAGAAGAATAACATTTGCTGATATTTGTGGTATATTATATCATGAGATGCTTGCAGATATGGTGAAAACTAGGACATTGTTCAAATAGCCAATTAATTTAATATGTAAAAGGATTTTCTGCTTTTAGTGTAATATTTTGGGCTTCTTCTTTTTTAAAAATTTCATAAACTACCTTTCCAAGAGTTGGAACATTACATCAGAAAAAAATACATAAATTAAACTCTGGTGTATTACTTATTAACAAATAGCCTAATAGTGAAAATTTTCCTTATAAAGATTGCATCTTGAGTTTTTCATAGAAAGTCTAATATGTCTTTAGTCACAGATGTGTATTCCCTATGGACAAAAAGCAGGCAACATGTTTCTGAGCACCTTTTATCGGTTCTGACACATCATTACTCCTGCTTCTTCAGAAGTACCAGAGGATGTGAATGAATGCGCCCTACCTCACTATAATTAGTGGCCTTATCTAATAAAGGTACTAGGTTTCTCTATCTGGGCTCACAGCATATTTGTTGAAGGGAAGGGTGGGGTACTGTCATCAAGTTGGTTTACAGATCACGGCCACCCTGTACTATTTTAGAGATTTCAATTCACTGATATTCAAGGTGACAAAAATGAAAACCATTGGTTTGGATTTTTAGTAACAACACATGAAAAGTGCTGTTAAATACATAATAAACTATAAGAACATCTGAAATAGTCAATTGTTTTTATGAGGCTATGAAAAGTAAACCAGAAAAAAAAAAATAGCAAATACACTCAGTTTTTGCAAAGTCTAAATACATAAACTTTTAAAAAATATTTTCTTTTCTTTTGAGACAGGGTCTTGCCCTGTAACCTAGGTTGGACTGCAGTGGCACAATTATGGCTCACCACAGCCTTGAACCTCCAGGGTCAAGTAATACTCCCACATCAGCCTCCCAAGTAGCTGAGGCTACAGGCATGCACCATATGCCTGGAAAGTCTTTAAAAAAATTTATTGCAGAGACAGGGATCTCGCTATGCTGCCCAGGCTGGTCTTGAACTGCTGGCTTCAAGCAATCCTCCTGCTTCATCCTCTGAACGTGCTTGGATTACAGGCATGAACCACCACGACCAGCCACATAAACCTTTTGATAACCTACCTGAGGTAGGTCTATTTTCTTGTACCACACTCACAGAACTTTTAGTTTGGGACTTCCTGTTTCTGCATCATGGTTATTATTGTCACTCTTCCTCATGAAATTTCTTCCTAACTCTTTTACTCTTGTCACTGCTTTCAACTTTTCTGACTCATCTCAAATCCCATCCACAGACAGTGAACTAATGTTCCTAAAGCCCTCAAACTTGAACTTCTGGATGCTTGCTCTTACTCCAATGACAGCAACACGGTATTCAACAGATCCCCCTGCGCCCACCCCAGCTTCTTCTCTGTAGAAGATTAGAAGATTTTATAGGAATACAGTAGTCACTAGCCACATGCGATTATGGAGCCCTAATCTGCATTATGATGTGTATACTATCTATTGTACATATGAGCAATATATGTGACTACTCTATATTGAGAATGTGGCTTAATTATATTGTATATATTGAGTATATTACTATGTGCTGTAAGTTGTAGGATGACTATAGTTAACAATAATATATTATGTAATTTCAAATAGCTAGAAGGAGGATATTGAATGCTCCCAACACAAAGAAATGAGGAAGGTTTTAGATGGATATACAAATTATCCTGACCTGATTACTATATAGTGCATGTATTAAAACATCACTATGTATCCCAGAAATATGTACAATTATTAAATGTCAATTTTTAAAAAAGAATTTTTTGGAGTGATACAGCTGTTCTGTATCCTTCTTTTATGGATGATTACATGATTCTATACATATGTTAAATTTACAGAACTGTATACCAGGATGGGCATGCTGGCTCATGCCTGTAATCCCAGCACTTTGGGAGGCTGAGGTGGGAGGATTGTTTGAGCTCAGTTCAAGGCCAGCCTCAGCAACATGGTGAAACCCTATCTTTACAAAAAATATAAAAATTAGCTAGGTGTAGTGGCACACGCCTGTAGTACCAGCCACTTGTGAGGCTGAGGTGGGAGGAGTACTGAGCCTAGGGAGGTCAAGGCTTCAGTGAGCCTTGATCACACCACTGCACTCCAGCCTGGGTGACACAGTGAGACCCTGTCTCAAAAAAAAAAAAAAAAAAAAGAACAACAACAAAAAATCTTACTGTTTCAACTTAATGAAAAATTATTTTATTAATCAAGTTGATTAAAAAAAAAACTTTAAGCCAGGCACGGTGGCTTACACCTGTAATCCCAGCACTTTGAGAGGCTGAGGCAGGCAGATCACAAAGTCAGGAGTTCGAGACCAGCCTGACCAACATGGTGAAACCCCATCTCTACTAAAAATACAAAAATAAGCCGGGCGTGGTGGCATGTGCCTGTAATCCCAGCTACTCAAGAGGCTGAGGCAGGAGAATCGCTTAAATCCAGGAGATGGAGGTTGCAGTGAACCGAGATCACACCACTGCACTCCAGTCTGGGTGACAGAGCGAGACTGTCTCTAAATAAATAAATAAATAAATAAAACTTCAAAAAGAAAAGTAATGACGTGATGTATATACACCTGTACTAGATTTTGATTAGTATTCAAAAAGTAACATATCTCAATGATTTTAATATTAATTTTTAAATATTAATTACATGTTGAAATGAAAACATTTTCAATATATTGGCTATATTAATTATATTAATAAAGCTATTTTTACTTGTTTATTTTCATTTTTTAAAATGTGGCTACTAGGAAGTTTAAAATTAGCTATGTGACTCACATCATATTTCTATTGGACAGCACCGGATTCGAATATGAATCCCTGGAGACTACATCCCTATAGTTTCAAATAATCCTTCCTGATTCTGAATCCTTTTGATATTTGCGGCTCATGTTTTCACTTGGACTTTTCGTCTCTACACAGTCGGCTACTTCTCATGTCCACCTTGTAAGCTTTAGAGGCCTTCTTAAACTTATATTTTTGTATTCAATAAGCATGTATTGAACGACTATTTGGTTCCAGGGAGTCTGTCAGAAACTGTAGGTAAATTGGAGGCTGGATTATATTCTGGAAACTGCAGGTGCCTCCCTGTGACTAGAGATAAAGATGCAAGAAGGAAGGTGATAAGATACAATGCAGCCAAGGCAGAGGAACCCCATCAGGAAATGGCTTGTGTGAAACTATGGAGTTCAGCTTTTATCCTGAAGGCAGTAGGTTGTCATTGAGAAGCTTTAGATGAGAGAGTGACATACTCAGGTTTACTTTTTAAGAAAAATCAGATTACAACACAGCAACAAAAGAATTAAATAGCTGTCACAACAATAAAAACATTAAAAGCTTGAATGTAAGCAGTGGCAATAAGGATATCTAAATTTGGATTTAAAGGATGTACAGAGTATAAAAGATATAGAACATGTTAACTCTTTAGATATGGAAAGTAAGAGAATGGAATAGGTCAAGGATAAGAACCTGCCTGAAAATTCTGGTTTGGAAAATTCAGAATGTGCAGATTGGGGAAACATACATTTCAAGTGTGATACATTAAATCTGGGCTTCTGAGAGGGCACACAAATGGAACTACAAGTAGTCAAAGGATATAAAAGTAGGATAAGCAGAATGAAACTCTGGATCAGAAGTATAAATGGTATCAAAACTTAGGAGTTCAGAAAAATCAACTTGTGATAGAATGAAAACTGACAACACAAACTCTGGAGAACTTTTTTTGTGAAATACTAAAAATAAAATACTTAAGGTTCTATATCTAAATACATTTGTACAAGAAAAAGCCCAGAAGGCTATATGTTAAAATGTTAGCAGTAGTTGCTTCTGAGGGTGGGGTTATGAATAAAGTTTCTTTTATTTTTTGGCTTGGTATTATCTTCTAAATTATCTATAAGATACATGTATTAGTCATGATACTTTCCATGTTTGAAGCCATGTGTCTTCAAACAATACAGAATGCATACAGCAGAAAGGTAACATTTTCCTTCAACTTCCTCCAATCCCACAACCATGTCAGAATCAGTGTTCCAAGTTTAGCTTGTACCCTGCGTGCACTTTTCCACTGTATTGGCAGATACACAAAAGACAGATGAAGAAACATTTTTGTTCTTTACGTGTTGTGTTTTGGTTTTGCTTTATCCTAAATAGATCTGAGCACTCTCCTCTTCTTTATCTACATTCTCCAAATAGATGATTGCTTATGGTCCCATGATGCCAAATCTATCTATACGGATGGTGACACCTAAATTTAGATGTTAAAGCCATGAATTTTACTGAGAGCTCTAGATTTATTCATACTTTTTACTTTTTTGGTGTTTATACTTGGCTATGTACTAAGCACCTTAAATTAAATACATTCAAAACAGAATATTTGATGCCTGTTCTGTCTTGTGGCCACAAACCCCAAAAACCATTCTTTCTCACCTCGGTAAGGGGTATTTATTTTTGTCCACCAATGCCAAGGCCAAAATTCAAGAAGTTGTTAATTTCTCAACTTCACAACTAATGCATCAGCACAAACTGTTGTCTCCACTACTCAAATATATTCTGTATCCACCCACTTTCTCCCATATGCACTGCCATCACCCTAGTTCAAACCAGGTTCACTTGTCTGGATTACCTACAGTGGACAATCTACATCTCTTCCACTAATTTCCCTTTAGAATCCATATTCCATGCATATAAGTGACTTGTAAAAATGTAAATCTGTCATCTTACTCTTTGATTAAAAATATTATATGGTTTCTCATTACTTTTAGAATAAAACCTAGACTCCCTACCACAGCCTGGAAATACTTCCATGGCCTATGCCTCCATCTCCATCATTCTGGGCACATTGGCTCTCCCTCTGTTCTGAAAACACAGCAATTCATTGTGGCCAACAGACCTTTGCATTGCTACTCCATCTATCTGAAAAGCTCTTCCTCCAAATATAAGTCAGTGTGGCTCCTTCTCAAATTCAAGTCTAAGCTCCAATGTTACCTTCTCAGGGAGTTCTTCCCTGGCTCTAAAGTTCCTGCTTTGACCCGTTATTATACATGATTTTATTCACCTGAAGTTTTGTCACAAATCATTACTATCAGAAAATGGTCATTCATTTACTTGGGCCCAGAACCAGGCTTTAATCTATACTACAATTTATTAAAGGCAAAGAAAATGAAGTATTTTTTTCTTAGTCTATTAACTAACGTGGTCTTACTCATGAGCCTGTCCCCAACCACACCAGCTAGTAGCAAGGAAAAGTGAAAAAGAAATTCTATGTAGTATATTTCACTTTAAAACTTAATTCAATCCAAGGGTTTAAATCGTCTCTAGATTTGTTTGAAATAATTATTTCATCTTTTACATGTATCTTCTGAACTCCTTGCTTTCCTCAAGTTGGAAAAGGGGAAGTATTTATGTGTCATCACAGCAATATGGAAAGGGAATTTCCTGGTCTCATGCTGGTTCTTGGGTAACTCAAGCATGTTTAATGAATGATTATTATAATCCCAGAATTGTTCTAAGTTGATTACATGCATTGCTTAATTTAATCATCACAACAACTCTGTCAGGTAAACACAGACAGTTCCTGTCCTACAATAATTTATCTTAAAGCTTCTTGACTTTATGATGGTGTGAATGCAATACACATTCAGTAGAAATCCTACTTTGAGTACCCATAAAGCCATTCTGTTTTTCACTTTCACTACAGTATTCAATAAATTACATGGGATATTCAACACATTATAAAATAGGCTTTGTGTAAGATGAGTTTGCCCAACCATAGGCTAATGTCAGTGTTCTGAGCACATTTAATTAAGGAAGTCTGGGCTAAGCTATAATGTTCAGTGGGTTAGATATATTAAATGCACTTTTTTTTTTTTTTTTGAGACGGAGTCTCTCTGTTGCCCAGGCTGGAGTACAGTGGTGCCATCTTGGCTCACTGCAACCTCTGCCTTCAGGGTTCAAGTGATTCTCCCGCCTCAGCCTCCTGAGTAGCTGGGATTACAGGCATGCATCACCATGCCCAGCTAATTTTTGTATTTTCAGTAGAGATGGGGTTTCACCATGTTGGCCAAGCTAGTCTAGAACTCCTGACCTCAGGTGATCACCAACCTCGGCCTCCCAAAGTGCTGGGATTACAGGTGTAAGCCACCGTGTGCGGCCTATTAAATGCACTTTTAGCTTATGATATTTTCAATTTACAATGGGCTTATTGGGCCATAATCCCATTATAAGTCTAAGAGCATTCCAACCTTTATTAAGATTTACAGTTGGAGAAACTGAGGCAGAGAGAGGCAATATGATTTATGCAAAATTACTACAGAGACAAGAATTGTATCCAGGCAGACTGCTCCATAACCCATGTCTTTAACCACCATCCTGTGCTGCCTTGTTTGTGTACTTGGCTGGGATCCAGTGAGCTGTGGTTGGCTCAGTCCCACCCTTGGGCTTTCTGTTAGTGTCTGCTGCTGACATCTATATCTGATGAGCTTGTGGTTGAGTGTGCTTGGCTTGGCCAGGGACTGGGCTGTCAACTCAGCATTCACATTACACAGTACCTAAGGGAGTTTCAGGAGGAAAAACAGAACTCTGACTCAGTGTGTGTATGCCAATCCACCTACTTACCTGATGTGGGCCATTTCATTTTGTGTGGCCACTCCGTTCATGGGCTCCTCCCAGAGACCTAATGGGCGGCCGGGCCAAAACCCTTGTTGCCTTAATTTTCCTTAAAGGGCACATCCTTCATCAAAACCCCATGTCTGACTGTTTTCCTTCTCATGATATCTTATGTTTTCTTTCTCTTTTTCTGCCCATAAGCCAGTGAAAGAAGGGAGTGTTCTGTCTGCCTGCTTTGTGACATAGACTTTCACTATGTCTGTGTCTTCCTTCTTCCTGAAGCATTTGTCAACACCTCCTTTCCATGCGCAACCCCAATAAAATCACTGTGATGAAACATGGTTTATGGGGGAGAGGGATACAAACACAGTAATTTAACATTTGTCAAATATTATCCATACCTCTCTTGTACGTCTTCCCCAGTAGAGCATAGACTTAATACAGCAAAGACTTTGACTGACCTTGTCTATAGACCAATTTGCTGACTTCTAAATCTTAGCTGTTCACTTTTTGAAAACATATAGTCTATCCATCGTGGATATGACCCTAAGAAAAGCCTATGCAATGCTTAGAAAAGTAAAATACCTTATAAAGAACTTCATCCATCAGATGTCTATCCTACTGCCAGACCAGGCAAAGCAGTAATTGTATTTGCATGTATCAGCAAAGAGCAGGGGTAATAGATGAAACTACTTGAAGTAATTAACTTACTTATAACTTTATTTTTTTGACAAAAACAGGCTCGAAAAACTGAAGTCATAAAGAGCAAGAAAGAATGAGGCATGTAGAAAAGATTGCCATAGAATCACTCTGTCTACTTAAATACTGAAAGGGCAAAGTCAGCATGACTACATATACACACATGTGCACCCACAGTCAATTACAGAAAAGAACTCTACTTACAGAGAAAATGGAATGAATTAGTGAGTAACCTTGAGGTATACAATTATTTAAAAGAAGACAAGTCAAAGTATGCTATCTAGTTATAACTTGCCCACTGTATTAATATCCTTAAGCTGCTGTAAAAAAAAAAAAATTCACTACAGCCTTGGTAGCTAAAAACAACAGAAAAGTATTCTGTCACAGTCCTGGAAGCCAGACGACCAAAATCAGATGTGGGCAAGGCGACCTTCTGTATAGAGGTTCTGAGGAAGAACTTGTTCCTTGCATTTTCTAGATTCTGGTGGCTGCTAGCATTCATTGGCATTCCGTGGCTTGTGCCTGCATCCCTGCAATCTCTGCTGCTGTCTTTACATACTCTTCCCTATGTGTCAAATCTCCCTCTGCCTCTCTTCCTCTCTCTCTTTTTTTTTTTTTAGATAGAGTCTCACTCTTGCCCAGGCTAGAGTGCAATGGCATGATCTTGGCTCACCACAACCTCTGCCTCCTGGGTTCAAAAGATTCTCTTGCCTCAGCCTCCAGAGTAGCTGGGATTACAGTGAAGCACCACCATGCCCAGCTAATTTTTGTATTTTTAGCAGAGATGAGGTTTCACCATGTTGGCCAGGCTGGTCTTGAACTCCTAACCTCAGGTGATCTACCTGCCTCAGCCTCCCAAAGTGTTAGTATTACAGGCATGAGCCACCATGCCCGGCCATGCCTCTGTCTTACAAGGAAAATTTGATGGCATTTACAGCTCACACAGATAATCCAGGATAATCTCTCCAGCCAAGGAAGGAGAGGACACAGATAGAGAGAAGAGAACTATCTAGTTCCCTCGCAATATATTGACCAGGCTCAAATGAATTGGCCTTTAGAATTTTCTCTTATTTCCAGAGTCAAGGAAATCCCTGGCCTTCAACGTTTCAGCTCTCTCATAAATGTACTTACTCCTATCCCTTCCCTAAATTTCTCGAATTAAGTTCACTTTTCATCATTTTTGTATTCATTTGCAATTCAACTCTTGGTGATTTGGGCCACTATAAGTTAATATTTAACAAAAACATGCAACAATATAAGTATCTGCCATTTGAATTCAAAGGAGCCAAAAATACACATCCAAAGAGGGTGGAATCTGATTATCTCATTTTCATCTGTCCACCAATGGTGTCCTACTTCCAGTCTATATCTCACTATACCCCTCAAGTAAATTGATGGTGGGTGAAAGGAAAAATAACTGTGTATACATGTGTGATTTTGCTATTGCAGATTCTGGAGAAAGTTTGGAATTGCTTTTGAAAAAGTAAAAATCACAAAACTCTTCAAATGAACACATGGTTTAATAATAAAGTTGAATTAATTATGTTGGCCTATTTGGATACTTTTTATCTTTAATTTACATTAATTATGATACTGGTTTGATGATGGGATAAAGAAGGTCCCCAAATCCCCAAACAAGTCATTTGGCTTGCATCATAGTTCCACAAGCCTCAAGAATAAATCCTCCATCTACATCAGTGCTCCAACCTTCACAATATGTGGCTTCCATCTTGCAAATGATGCCCAGCCCTTACTTTCCCACAACTGGGAAAGGAAAAGGGAGCAAGGGAAGGATATCCTTTTAAGAGAAAAACCTAGAAGCACATACTCTTTTTGTTCTAGAAGCCAGAACAAAGTCATATCAACACAACCAACCAGCTGCAAAAAAAGCTACACATGTACTCTTTATTTTGGATGGCCTTGTAAAAGGTAAGATTTCATTACCATGGATAAGAAGAAAATCATCTTTCCCACAATCCATTCTTTTGCTTACCTAAGTGTCATATAAGGAATATATTAAAGCCTCTCTAAGTCCCATTCAGCACCTGGCAACCTATGAAATGAAAGAAAATATGTTCCCCACCACCCTGCCCCCTCTACCAATACACACACACTAAGTTTACAATGGTGGATTAAGACCAGGAGATCTGTAATAATATCTGTTTTAAATAGGAAAAAATGAGAAATGTCAGTCATCTGTCCACAGGGATTATCAAGGGCTGTTGGATATGAACTGCAAAGATTCCTTCCCTTAGAGTAAGTTTCTTATAGAGCCTGTCTGACTGTCACTGATTCTTACCTCTGTGAGAAGCTCTCCAGCACGCTGTTCTCTGTGAGGAGCTCTCCAGTACTCTGTTTTCCATGACCTCATGGCTTTGGCCTCTGCGAAGTACCTTTCAAGTCTATCTTTCATTCTCTCTGGACATGTTGAAAGTAGTATGTATGTTTGATGGCTGCCCAACTTTGCAATCTGGCTTACAGAATTGTCTGATTTAGGATTTGAATAATTAGAAGTCTTTGTAAGCATAACATGTGGATTCTTTGACAACATAAAGTCTTCAAAAGCTTAATAGGTTTCCATGTTTTCGTTCTTACTCAGTTCTATTTGGGAGTAACCATAGCCAAAGTTTTGGACATAATTTTAAAACCTGAAATCACGCCTTCTTTTTATTTACTATTTTCTCTCTTGTTCACACCTCACTGCCCACCCCGGTCCCCACCCTCCTACTCACCACCCTCAACTTTCTTCACATAACAGATGCTACCTAGAGGCTGTTTAAAATACTTGCCTTGAATGAAGATGCACTTCCCTTAATTTAACCTTTGCCACTTGGCTGTTTTCCAATTTTTTAGAAAAATATAGAGGCTTGGGGGCTATAGCCTTATTGCCTGCTTATTAACACCGATTCAGTGCTACTCTGTATCATCGCTTCAGTTTAAGGTGCAGAAGCAGTTGTTTTGATCATGAGGCCCCAAACCATGGAGGAAATCTTACCCCTTCAGGAGGGTGACGGTCCTGAAGAGTAGTCAGGAAGGCATTGTGAAGGAGTTGATACATTAATGAGTGAGCAACAGTTAGATGAAGATAAGAGGGAAGGATGATTCAGAGAAAACAGCAGGAACAAGGGCATGAAGGTAAGAGAAATAAAGTGCGAAAAGAAGCATTGGCAACAAACTGGGATGGGGAGGAGGACTGAAATGTAGAGGTGTCTAGTTAGTAGGAAATGTATATACTTGGTCAAGTAGAGCGATTTTATGGTTTGAATCAGATGGTAGCAAAATGGATTTTTGATGGTCCACTTTGATAGTGGTGTGAGGCATGGGCTTCAGTAACAAACATTTTGAGACAGGGAGACGAGCTAGAAGGTTACTACAGTAATCCAGGCAAGAAGCGATGAGAAAAGTATGTTGGGTCCAACTTTCCCACTGGCCTTCAGAAGGTTCTCTGGAAAAAAATCAGCTTGCAAAAGGCAGATTAATAGGAGAAAAGACATACAATTTATTTAACATATGCACAGGGGAGCCTTTAGAATGAAGACCCAACTTTCCAAATGTGGTACATGAGCGTATATACCATCTTGAGGTTACAGAAAGAATGGAGCTTGGACCCTGCCTGGTAAAACAGGTTGTGGAAAGAGGGAAGAGAAATTCTATTAAGGAACAATAAATAATTACTAGGGAAAAAGATTGGACGGAGATCAGAAATTAACTTGTGAAAATAGTTCTCTTTGGAATTTAAATGTTCCTTGAAGACAGTCATTATCTTGAAAAAGGGTCTGTTCAGGTGTAGTTATATTTTTTTGGTCTTCTTTCCTATAATGGATAATAAGATAATGTGGGGAGGGGAACAAGAAGAAATGTTCTCCTTGATGGGTCCTATCTTTATGTAGATGGGGGAAAAGTCTCTTCCAACGCCTGTTGATCTCTAAGGGCTTTTAATTTAAAACACTCATTACCCTCAGGAAGCCATATTCTAGGAGGAGAACTTTTGATTTTCTTCAGGTGATATCAGGATCAAGAAATATTTTTAAAATAACATCTGCATGATTTGGTAGTAGTTCAGCAGTGAATGATATAAGAGAAAGGGTTGTAGAGAAGGTCACAGGAGAAGGAGCAGGGAAGGGAGACTGATTGAGGAGGTTGAGATGAAAGAGACTGAATTTCAGGCATAGATATTCGAAGGAGATAAATATGTTTTTTTCCCAGGAGAAGTCTATACTGGAAAAATCCATTGTGGAAGTCTTTAATAGGCCGTAGATAATACCCTGAAATAAAATGACATCTTTCAGATAAAGTATGTGAAAGAAAAAAAACCAAACAAACAAAAAACAAACAAACAAACAAAAAAAACAAGATCATCAAAAGTTTAGAAGACATTAAAAAAAGAAGCCCCTCATGAAACCAAGGGAAGTCAGAGAAGTAGGAGGAGAATGGAGTGGTGTAAGAGAATTACTTGGAGGGGAAGGGAAAGAGCCCATATTGCAATAGGTCAAACAGTGAATTTTACAATAGATTTGAACACCTATACAAAGTTTAGGTCGATCCCAATATTATAGGTTTCAAAGAAAAGGGAAGTGAATGTCCTAGGAGAAGGTAGGAATATGAGAGAGTGAGAGAGACAAAAACTTAGAAGTTACTCCCAGAAGGCCTTGCTGTGGGTTTGGTGGGCATTTGTATCTCTGGAGTTTCTCCCTGGAGAATGGAGAACCTGAGGCTGCTACTTTCCCTCCCTCCCTCGCATCTGCCTTTACCTCCTGCTCTTACAGGTGGTGTTCCCTGAGTTTCCATTCAATATACGAGTCCAAAATACTCAGTAGGGACAACCTGGAAATAGTTATTTTTGAGAATCAAAATATGAATCAATAGAATGCTACAAAATTTGTGTTAAAATTTTAAAAAGCCCTTCATTGAGAGTTGATCAGATAAGCAGCATGTTTGAACCAGCATTCCTAATAACCATTCCATAACTGTGATGTTTAAACCATTTTCTCACACTGGGTTGTTCTAAGCTTGGTCGAGTATAAGCTAGTAGTAATATAAATTTAAAGACAGATATAATAGGGAAAAGAGAGAGAGAGAGACTGAAAGAGGAGAGAATGGGAATGTTATGAAAATAAAAATTAATATTTGAGCTAAATTTGTAGCATCAGAAATATTCACCTGGGAAAGAAAGACTCTGAGTAGCTCTCTACAATTGCTTGTGTGGGCAAAAGTTTTAGAGATCTTGCCAAGGCTTTTTGAAATCCATACCTAAATTTGGTCTTCTTCTTTACTCTCCTCTTAAAATTGCTTCATAAACAGCCTTTTAAAATTTATGGCCCAGTGCGGTGGCTCACACATATAATCCCAGCACTTTGAGAGGTTGAGGTGGGAGAATCGATTGCTTGAGGACAGAAGTTTGAAACCAGCCTGGGAAATATATGGAGACCCTGTCTTTACAAAAAAAAAAAAAATTATAATTATCTAGGTGCAGTGGTGAACTACTGTAGCTACTCAAGAGACTGAGGCAGGAGGATCCCTTGAGCCCAGGAGTTAGAGACTGCAGTGAACCACGTTCACGCCACTGCACTCCAGCCTGGACAAATGTGTGACACCCTGTATCAAAAAAAAAAAAAAAAAAAAAAAAGAGGAAGAGTAAATCAAATTTAGTAGATTATTGCACACAAGCTGTTTGTAAGAATGAATACAAAGACACCACAGAATTTCATTTCTCATTAGAAACACCTGTAGCTATACCTCACTTGCAGATTCTGACAAATTAAGGCTAGAGTGGTGAGCTATTATCATAGTTACCTAAAGAAACCATAGTATCTATATTTTAAAGCAAAACCTACACTCTTAAATTTAGTACTTTTTCTGATTATCTGTAGTCCATTTACATTTCTCCCCTTGGGAAAATTTCTCAAGATACTATAAATAAATGCAGTACTTACATAATTTTGCATAGAGTGAAATATGTCACTGTTCCCTTTTATCAGTCTCTTTGCTTTAATCTTTTATCCTGATCATTAGTATAACATCAGTTCAAACTTCAGATCAATATAGAGAAATCTAGTTTCATTGTTCTCTCATTTTGTCTCTGTTCTCTTTGCCAAGAGATAACTTCTGTTCTATGTAAAGGCAGGAAAAGCACGTAGCCACATTGATATTGTTTGGCTGTGTCCCCACCCAAATCTCATCTTGAATTGTAGTTTCCATAATCCCCACGTGTCTTGGGAGGGACGTGATGGGAGGTAATTGAATCATGGGGGCAGTTACCCTCATGCTGTTCTCATGATAGTGAGTGAGTTCTCATGAGATCTGATGGTTTTATAAGGGGATTTTCCCCTTTTGCTCGGCACTTCTTCTTGCTGCGGCCATGTGAAGAAGGATATGTTTGCTTCCCCTTCCACCGTGATTGCAAGTTTCCCGAGATCTCCCCAGCCATGAAGAAGTGTGAATCAATTAAACCTCTTTCTTTTATAAATTACCCAATGTCAGGTATGTTGTTATTAGCAGCATGAAAATGGACCTAATACGCACATATATAAGTAGCCTTACGCACACACATGCAGATGCACACACAAAATCCTCCTCCCCATTCCTCTTTCCACATACAAACACAAACACCAGACACCTACAGAAGGAAGCAAAAGCTTGAGACAAGTAAACTTCTGTGACAGATTTTCCAAACTGGACCCAAAATAGCCCCTCCGCACAAAGAAGACCAATTTGATGCAAAAAAAAAAAAAAAAAAAAAAAAAAAAAAAAAAACCCTAGCATCTGGTTATTGTCAGTTCTGTAATTGCATAAAAGAAGACTGTTTTTATACTTTGATTTATTTTTCTTTCACCAAATACGCTGGATTTTTTTCCCCATTGTGTGTATTGTGTCTAGAAAACACATATTTGGTCCTCTTTGTCTAGATAGTCTTAGCAGAACTATATCAAAGCAGTTTCATCAGTTTGTACCTCTCACTGACCATCCCCCAACACAAATATAATAAGCAACATTCACTTGTTAAAGTGACAGAGTCTCAGATTCCGAAAAAGTGCAGTTCTAAAATAGTCTTTCATATTGCCATATGCAAATTAAAGCCATAATGACTTTATCTAGCTTTAGCATATATTCTCACATAGAGCTTTGATATCAGAAAAACAACCAACAACTCCAGAAAGGAATGAAATCCTCAGCAATGCCCAGAATTTCTCCCCAGTGGTCCACACTGCCAGGTTTTCCAGCTTCTTGAGTGTGAAGGCCTCACTGAGAGCCTCCTTCGCACACCAGCCCAGCACAGCTGCTTTTATTTCCCTAATAATGAAAATAGCAGAAACACATCTGTTTTCATGCTTCACTGTTGACAGCTCACCAAAAAATGTGCATCCAATAGTTTTTATCCAAATAGACAGACATGATAGGTCCAAAACACAGAGAGGTTATATGATGTTTTGGTTTTAAGTTTGTGCAAGAAATTCAATTTTTATATTTTATGTCATGCCTGAAACAAATCCCTCTCAACTTCTGAAAATCTTCTTAGAGAGGTTCCAAAGTGTTTCCTGGAGTGTCACCACAGTGTATTGAAGCTCATACTTTATATAAAGTATATTTTATGGTAGTTATTTGCCAAAAATGATTTATGCAAACTATTTTAATTTTCAAAGCAGGGAAGGGTAAAGTAGTACAAGTGCATGTATAATGCTCACATGATGTAACAGAGAGAGGTAAGCAAAGAAGTGTTTGCTTCTTTCTTGTTACTCAATATATCTATATTCAATTTTTCAGCTTTAAAAAAATGTTATTTCTCTTTGATAAGAACCTGTATCTGAAAAATGTTCATCTTAATAGATGAATATTTTTCATGGTCTTGAAACAACCAAAACATTAATTGTGATTTTTAACACTCATTAAATAGAGAGAAAGAGAGAGCACAGAGGTATACAGCATGTGAAACTTTGGACTGCTCAAAGAAGACATTTTCAAACATATCTTTTCAGGACTGTCAATAGGAACCGTAAGTGAGTTTCAGGTAAGTAGCTGTGATCAAATGGGAAAGTTTGGGGAGGAGAACAAAGAAATTACTTTCATCTTAGAGTTTGTTTCAACCACATCAAAGAGATAGTTAAAAATAAGTAGCCCCATACTACTTAATAATATTATTATCATTAATATTTTAAACTATAGTTAAAATAAATAGCCCCATACTACTTAATAATGCTGTTATCATTAATATTTTAAACTGTTAAAGTAAAAATAATAATGTAAAGACACATCTAACTTTTCTACCTATGATAATAAATCTTCTGAGTAATCTCTTTTTTTTCCATTATTGATTTTAGGTTCGCTCATCTAATTGTAGCAGTTAACTGACTGACAAGGTGAAGAAGGATTGTGGTTTTCTGTTTCAGATGGAAAAACTAAAAACATAAGAGAATCTCACAATTATCCACATATGCCCCAAAAGTTCATACTACAGAAGAATCTATATATACTTAAACAGACTATTGAGAAAAGTCAAGTTGTTTTTCTATATGAACCCAATAATGCATTTTCAAGACACTGGATAAATTTAAAGTAAGGGTCTTACACATTTACTACTGAAGGGCCAGTTAATACAAAAAGATCTAATGCCGTTATTGCAGACTTATTCAACCAAATTTCCAGCTAATGCTTTTTAAAGAATAATTTCACAAGAAGTTTTATTTTGGGCACATGCCTTTGGTCTATACTCCTTTTTGTCAAGTCAGCCATAGCCTATGATCAATGTGAGTTCTCCAGCCCACTTAAACATGCACCCATTCGAACACATTGAGACCCACCTTCAGATAGGATGCCTATATTCTTTGGATAGGCACTTATTAGGTAATGAAACAATGATAAGTAATAACTGTCCTTTTATAATTGCTTACCTAAAAGAAAAAAGCTCAATCACCTAGCCAGGTAAAACTCTTGTCAAGTATTCACACAATGTACTGTAACATGAACCAAATGCCTAAATGATACATTTCTGCCCTCCAGATACTTAAAACCTAAGTGGTACACACACACACACACACACACACACACACACACACAGACACACACACACACACACATCTATAGTCACCCTATATGGTTAAAATGGAAAGAAGTACTATAAAAAGAAAGAAATAGTGTAAGAACCAACTTCCTAGTTGGAAAGTAGGTATGCGAGAGACCAGTATTTTAATTTTTTTTCTCAATCTTAGAAAAACGGGCATTTTCCAGGAAACGGAAAGACTAGAAATAAAAGTAGAAGAAAAAGGCTTAAACAATATTCTCCTTTAACTTTCTGGTGAGTTTTCCTGTTTGCTTCTTCCTCCCCATTTTGTCTTCAAGCATTCCCTGCTGTGCAGAAAGCTGTTTTCGGCAACTTCTCTGTGTAGTCTTGCTCACACCAAGTAAGAGTCCAAAATTGTGTTCTGCTAAACATTATTTTTGTGATGATTCATCATTTACAGAGAAAAAAGGGTGTGTCAGCAGGGAATCTGGACTAAGAAACAAAGGACCTGGATTCTAATCCTAATTCCTCCATTAATTAGGAATTTATTTTGGCCAAGTCCACTAAACTACATCATGACTCACTTTAGCTCATTGATAAAATGAGGATAATAACGTTTGCATTGTCTTACAAAAAATGTTGAAAATGGAAAGTATTTTGAACATTACATGTGTTCTATATTATTATTGTTAGTAAATCTGCCAAAAATTAATTCTAAGTTTACAACTAAAAGCCACAAATGAACTTTTTATTTACTCGGTCATATGGAATCTTTAAGCACAAGTAAAAGATCTCTAAGTGGCCCTAGGAAATAAGAAGTGTTAAAACAAATCAGCTCTGCCAAATACTGGGAGTTCTGAGAACTTCACTGAGTCCCCAGCCATGCTGGTCGTCTTCCAGTTTCCACTCAGAGCTTTTTATCTAATCAATGAATTTACTGATTTAAATACAGGTTTAGGAACAAAGTCCTAAGTAGTTATTTTATGGTTCTTGCTTTGCTTTGCAACCGTATCCCAGCATATTTCCCCTCTCTCACTGTGCTCCAGTTATAATAGGCTACTGTTGATTCCAATTCCTTGTCCTGGTGTCAGGACTTTTCCCTTTCAACTGTTCACTCCAACCTCAGATTTTTCAATGACCAGCTCCTTCTCATGCCACAGATCTCTGCTTAAATGCAACCTTCACAAAAATCCTTCTGTGACCACACTATCTCCAGGTGGAGTAATATTGCTCCCATCACCCCCTACCACATCATCCTCAGAGTACTTACCACTTCTATTATTATCCCATTTTTTTATTTGTCTGTTGTAGGCTCAAGTGAAAATAGAATCATCCTTGATTCCTCTCTTTCCCCCCTGTGCTCAGCCTATCAGCCAGTCACCTCTGTCTCCAAAATTATTCCATAAACGTTCATTGATTTCCATCTCTAACGTTATTATGCCATCCCATCACCAACATTGCTAACTAGGCTACTGCAGTATCCCTCTGACAGGAGCACCTGCGTCCACATGCATCCTCGCATATCTGATTTTTTCATTGTATTCATTAAAACCTTTTCCCGAAACTTGTCAGGTTTAGTCTGTACCTACTTAAAATCCTCCAGTAGTTTCCCAACGCTTAGAAAAAGAGTCAAACTTTTCCCATGGCCTACAAGGGCTGCCTACTAACATCACCATCTACCCCCTCTCCTCACTCTGCCCAACCATACATCTGTCAGCTGTTTTCCTGTTTCCCTCAGGACATTCACTTGTCACCTATGCTTGAGCACATTTCCCTCTGGCCTTTACATGGCAGGCTTGGTCTCATCATTCAAGTTTCATCTCAAGTGTCACCTGCTTAGCCATTCCTTTCTTGAACTATCCTCTATCCCTTTGATTTCCCATCACATTACTGTTTGTTATTTTCTCCATAGCATTTTTACATTACATTAGCATTATATAGCATTTTTACATTACAACTGATTGTTGTTTTCTCCATAGCACTTATCACTATTTGGAAGTGTTATATTCTTTTACTTGGTCACTTATAATTTCCATCTCTCCCACTAATACATTGGATCTTTGAGAGTACAGACACACTGTCTTATTCATTGTGATGTATCTAGAATTTAGAGAAGCATCTTTAAAATAATAGAGGCTTAATAAAAATATTAACTAAGTGAATTAATAGCAGTTCATTGCCTGCTTTCCTTATAAAAATGTAATTTCCGCGAAGGAAGGACCTCATTTTGTCTTTGTGTCTTGGTGTAACATATACTGCTATTTCCCATCACCCAGCCCAATGCTTAATGAGTACTCGTTAGTTATTTTAAGAATATTTGCTGAATGCAAGATAAATAAATGACTGAATCTGAAGAAGATAATAGGTTTAAGTATTTCTAGACTATAAATCAATATTTATTTGTAATGGATAATGTGGTTACAGAAGTTAGAAGCTCTTTCTAATATTTTTGGGTAGTCTACTGAAAGGGCAGATAGCCAAGAATTTACCTTGAAAGATATCATTGGGTCAGTAAGCATGAGTTCTTATTCCAGACAAAAATGATCTTACCTTAGCTAGTAAGATCATTGCCTACTGATGACTCACAACTGAGTCTTTTTCTAGGCATTGTGAACTACTCAAGGGAGCTGACTCACCCAAAGTGATGTTGCTCACTTCCAGTGATTGTTAGATACTGACTGAACAATAAAGGCATAAATTCCCTTACCTCAATTCGAATTGTCTGGGAACTTCTGTAGAAACTGCATCATATATTGGGTATCCGTCTTGCTTCCCTCTTTCTTTTAAAAGTATTGCTCTTGTCTATCAAAACCTATGCCCTGGGAGCCATGTCCCCTTTAAGGGTCAAGGCAGTCGTTCCCACATCTGTTGGTAGTGTAGCCTGCTGATGGCTCTCAGCTGAGTCCTACTCAAGACTGTGCCTTCTTCCAAGGAAAGCCTTCATCCAATAACTACGTAAGGCAGGAGTGCAAAGACCCAGTCCTCCTGCCTCAATTTGGAGCATCTCTGAAATGCAATCTCACTTTGAGAGCTTTCTGTGGTATTGGCTGAAGCCTCATGACAACTGCATTCAATTTAACTACTCTCTGTGCTTAAACTGCTCTCACTCTTCAAAGTGCTGTTACAAAGAGCACTCACTAGTAAACCATCTGCAGGTAAATTTTCATCTCAGAATCTCTTTTCAAAAAAACACGATGTCTGTCATTATTAACTAAGGTTGAATTTTAAAATATAGTATGGCTTTAAGTTATCATGATTATCATTGCTTTTTGTATGGGAATACCACAAGTTAAATGTTGATGTCATGCAGGAATAAGGAAAGAAATGGAAGGACCTTACTAAGGAGTTGATACTCTTTCACTTTATGGGAGAAATAATATAGTGCAATATAGCTATAGACTATGGTTAGATAAACAGAAGATACATAAAACAATAGACAATAAAGCAGATAACATAGGTACTAAATTTATATCATATGCAGTACCACATCACTTAGTGCTTCATATCAAGGGTGTGGTGTTCTCAAATGAAAGAGAATCTGAAAATAAGCAAGAAGGTCTGTAAGAAGACACATACAATGTCATGAAATCAAGTATTCAAATAATAAACTATATTTGCAGAGAAACCTACCAGGATTCAAAGCCTTTTCCTTATTTCAACATTAATTCTAATAGCCTTGATTTTCTGGTGTGGGGCTAGCTATGCATCACAAGCTATAAATTACTTGTATGTACATAGACATGGTATTGTTAAAATAATAGGAAATGAATGAGACAGAAATTATTGAGGGAAGAGACAGAGCCATAAAAATTGTGGGAAAAATTAGTAGTCAGTAAGATGGGCTCTAAGAATGGAAAGTCTGTTTTCAGGTCTGACTCTTCTACCTTCTTGTTTATGCAAATTATTTCACCTGGTCTCCTTATTAAAAAAAACTGGGTAACTGTGATAGGCAGAATCATGAACCTCAAAGATGTCCATGTCCTAATATGTTTATTTTAAAGATCTCATGAGATAATGCTTGCAAAATAATACAGTTTCTAGTACATAGAATGTTCATTATAGTAGCATAGTATAGTCATGTAAGGGCATTCAGTAGAGGAACAAACCACACTGCTCACCTTAGTGAAGCCCAGAGTCACAGTATTTGGCATTTATAGCCATGATCTTAGTTATCAAAAAAAAAAAAAGTTAAAGTTCGCACATTGTTCTTTTAAGATGGCAAAGAAGTGTGAAAAATTTTTTCTCTAAAACTTAATTTCAAAAAAGTGTTAAAACTAGATTTTATTTGCCTGTAACATGGTTTTAGAAAGAGCAAATAATTTCTCCAGAAATCAGATAGATTTGTGAAATAAAGCTCTATATGGGAAAACAAGTTAGGCCATTCTCCAATGTCTGACACAACATTTACAGAAGAGAATCTCATCTGTCCTTCTTGAAGTATGTTTCTTATATTTTATACACTCAATAATGACATGATAAAGGTCTAAAACAGTAGATAACTATTATCATTTAGCACTTATACAATTACATAAAGAAAATAAGTGACTTATTATAAACCTGTAGATTTACCTGTAGAAATATAAATATGCCCTTAACATAGAAATTTAGGTAAGTAAGAGTGTCTGTGGTGGAAAAAGGATTGAAAATAAATAAAAAATAAACAAAGAAGTAACCAATGAGATTCTAAGATTATAATATCCAATTTAGCATTTTGGGCTATGAGTGAGAAAGAAAGTAAATCGTGGAGATCATTGTAACCTGTGATTTCAAAACACTGCTGGAGGATAAGTACTCAGTTTTTATTAATTTTTTACAAGTCTGTAGATAAATAAGATAAATGAGGACAATGTAGTCGTTTTTTAAATCTAAATTTATTTCATTTAAAAGGCTGGTATTATTCTGAGATTACACTGTTCTACTTTTGAGTATTCAAAATCCTTCCTTAATAAAATGATGAGGATAACAGTGGTAGAAGTTTGCATTTTAAAATGCTCTTATTTGGCACAATTTACAAAGGTTATCCATTCTATGTCAATTGCTTTTAATTTTACTAATCCACTAGTATCACAAGTCTGGGAGCTGCTGATTTAGCCTCACCTCCATTTTGCAGACAAAGAAATTGAGGCCCAGAGAAGTAAATATCTTCTTTAAGACCTCATCAGTGGCAGCACCCAGCCTAGGACCTTGCCATGGGTCATTTATCAATGGTCATTAATATAACATTTTGGAAGAATATAAGTAGCTTTATTTCCCATCCAGAATGTTGAACTAACTTTTTTCTAAAATAGATTATTAAAGAAGTTCCAATGTTTATTGGCTTACCAAAACTGTATAATGCATATCTGAACTTATTTAAATTTAAGCACAGAATCTATTGCAAAAATATTGCCTTTCTACTTGTGTTACTTAAGTGTTGAGTCACCTTTTCAGAAATAACCAAATCCATCAGGCCATAATAAATGATAGAAGCTAAGTGACAACACATCTGCTAGGCAGGACAAACATTCACATCTCAGGAGGACAAACATTCACATCCCAGGAGGGCAAGTGCTTGGAATTCTCAGCTGGATTTTAAGTGGTTCAGAAATGTTAGCAGAAGGTAGAAATTCCTTCTAGTATCTTTTGGCAGCCTATTGGAAGGGCGAGTAGCCAAGAATTTACTTTGAAAGATGTAATTGAGTCAGCCCCTATGGGTGATTCTTGTTAAGAGAGCTAATGGTAAAGATAAGCAGCATTTGTTTGGAGGTTGTGTAAATATCCCTGCTCTGAGATAAACAATTTGCATATCTGGAGAGAAGACAAAAGTCAGCCTCTCCGGGGTACCTGACACTGGCTTTTCCAGGCCTTCAGAAATAACAGAGTTGTTTTCTTAGCTGCTGGGAGGAATTATTTTAGGTAGATAGATTCTTAAATAAAATAAAAGGATGTAATTTGAAACCCTAGGCATCCTATACCTATGTTATTTCACTCTTTTCTAAAAATGAACATTTTTATAATTGTGTACATAATGTCTTTGAACCCTGAGCATCTGCCTGAAACAGCTGTTTGTGATTAAAATTAAACCAAAGCTTTCTACCAGTGAATAATTCACAGCAGATAAAAAGAAAAAAATCATGGGTGCTTTAGGGACTATGCAACTTTTAACTTTCTTCTCACTCAGATTATGTGCAAGAGACACTTGCTCATTTTATTTCCAGAAAGGGAAGGAGTTTAGTGTCAAAAGTTGGAAATTTTCTGAGACACAAGAAGTCTTTTCAGATATGGTGCTAAGACTTAAACCAGTTCACTAATTAAAAAAATTTTTTTTCAGTTATTGAACAACAAAAATATTAATGTGTGGTTGACTTCTTTGAAGAAGCATTTACTTATGCTAATCTCATTTGGGGAACTTATAGAAGCATTTATTATGCTAATCTCATTTTGGGAATTTATAATTCCTATGACTAATAGAAAGAAATCTACATGGCTAATTTTAAATGTATACTTTGTTTGATGGCTGGTTTTATGTGTCATCTTGGCTAGGCTAGAGTAGCCAGTTATTCAAACACTACTATAGGTGTTGCTGTGAAGGTATTTTCTTGATATGGTTAGCATCTGCAGTCAACTTGAAACCATGATTGCAAAATTGTAACTACACAGTGAAAAAAGATCTGAACTAACCCACTGCATCTTGCTTCTAACCTCCAAACTGTCCTTGTTCATTCCTGGGTGTAGGGTGAACTAACTTTGTTAGGAACTTAGTTTATAGTTTAAAACAAAAACAGTAACAGCCCTTTCCCAAAACAAATTTCCTTCTTGCCTGGGGACTAGACTGCTTTTGTAGGACTAATAAATTAGCCACAAGATTAGAAATTATGGTTTAGGAGTCATGCAGCTGGAGGCTACAGGATTCTGACCCTCTCTAAACTGCTCCTAAGCTGCTTGAGGTACGATGCAGACTCTGCACTTGATGGATCAGCTGACACCACCCAAATCAATACATTGGCTCATCTGATCTTGTGGCTCCCACCCAGAAACTCACTCAGCACAAGAAAACAGCTTTGACTCCCTATGATTTCATCTCTGACCTGACCAATCAGCACTCCCAGACACACTCCCATCCACCAAATTTTCCCATCCCAGACTCACTCCCATCCACCAAATTATCCCAGACTCACTCCCATCCACCAAATTATCTTTACAAACTCATGGAATGCTCGGGGAGACTGATTTGAGTAATAATAAAACTCCAGTCTCCTGCACAGCCGGCTCTGCATGAATTACTCTTTCTCTATCGCAATTCCCCTGTCTTGATAAATTTGGCTCTGTCTGGGCAGCGGGCAAGGTGAACGCACTGGGCAGTTACAGGCTAAGTAAAGAAGACTCTTCTCCATAAAGTAGGTGGGCCTGTCCCATCTGTTGAAAAGTCTGAAAAATAAACACTAAGGTTTCCCTGAAAAAGAAGAAATTCTACCTAAAGCATGCAACATCAACTTCTTACCAACAGTTTCCAGCCTGCAGGCCTGCCCTATAGATTTCAAACATGCTATCCTCCCAAAAACCACGAGCCAATTTACTTAAAAAAATCTATTTATCTATCATCTATCTATCTGTGTTTTTTACTCATTCAGTTTCTTTGGAGAATTCTGACTCATATATCTTCTAAATAATAACATTTTTTTCTACGAATAATTTCAAAATGTTTGTGAAATGGTTATCAATTTTCATCATAAATAATCAATTGCTGTAAGTTAAAACCCTCTTAGTTGCTTGTCCCATCAACATATTTTTTATTTCTATTCAACTTCTCATTGATTACCTCATATTCAGATATATTTTTAAATGATTAGTTATACTAAGAAGTCAAAGATAAAAAACTGAAGCAATCCTTTTATATTTGCTTTCCAAAGAAGAGATTATTCCTACTTAGGGACTATTCCTACTTAGTAGAGGGGAAAAGGCAAGCATGTATTAAGCTCTTAAAACTATTACTAATCAATAATAAAAATATTCAAAGAATTTTCCTTTGCCTAATCCTCAGCTAGCCATTTAAAAAATGAAGAAAGGGAAGAGGGAAAAATATGTGGAGAGAGGGAGAAAATGAGAGAGAGAGAGAGAGACAGAGAGACAGATTCAGAGTATGTGTATGTGTGAAAATAACAATAAATAGTTTCCTAAAACAGCAACAGAATACTATCTAATATGGGGACTTGGGGGAAAAAATGTGGACATTTTACCAGCTATTGGAGTTATTTCATCATTGAGAATTTGACCTAGGAAAAAAGGTTAATAATGGCACATGCTCATCTAGTTTGGATTGCTAAATATAAAAACTGTGGTCCCTGCACCTCAGTGAGTTCACAGAGAGAAACACTATGACACCAAATCACAGTAGCAAGATCACTATTTATTTACATTTGTCTTTAACTTCATACATCTCTTCTGCTACTTCTATGCCTGAAGGATTATGCAAAAAAAGAAATAAATGACAAATTTTATGACAGCAAATAGCTTAAATATTAGAATAACATTTGATCCTTACTTATTGTGCATAACACAATATTGCAAAACTTAGTAACTGTTAGAAACAAATGCTTGTTCCTCAGTGCCAAAAAGAAGAACTAGCGCTCAGACAAAAAATTTTCTCAGCAAGGCAATTTTACTTCTATAGAAGGATGTGACTCATGGATGGAGCAATAGCGAGAGCACAGCTGAACAAGGGAGAGGAAGGGGTTCTTATTCCTGATACAGGTACCCCCTACTGCTGTGTCATTCCCCTGCTGGCTAGGGTTGGACCACACAGTCTAAGCTAATTCTGATTGGCTGTTTTAAAGAGAGCAGTGGTATAAGCCAGAATGGCAGGGTGAGCAGTTTGATGGGAAAAATCATTACCGAATAGGTAACTAAAGGTGTCTTAGGTCAGAGCAGGTGACCAGGGATGATTCAGGTCAAAGCAGGTGACCAGGATAAGTCAGAATGGAGCAGGAGACCAGGAGAATGATGTGAACTACTGATTAAAACTGGTGGAAAAGGTTGTTTACTGAAACTATAAGGAAGTTAAACTTTAAAATGGAGGACAAAGAACTGAACATACTGACATACTGATTATTTGAAGAGAAATCTAGAACTCACTGTATCCAACATAACTTTAAAACTATACATTATTATCTTATAGTTTTTCAGGAAAATGAGAGCAGCTGAATTAGGTATTTCTAGCTCAAGACCTTCCTTGCATGAGTTGCAGTCAAGGTGTCAGCCTGGGCTACAGTTATCTGAAAGCTTGACTGGGGCTGCAAGATCCTCTTCCAAGATGGCTTTCTCACGTAAATGTTGACAAGAAGCCTTAGTTCCTCATTACATGAACCTCTCCCTATGGCTTCTCCAATGTCCTCCTAACATGGGAAGTGGTCTCCTCCTGAACATGGGATTCAAGAGGCAAGGAAGAAGTTCCAATGTCTTTTATGATCTAGCCTCAGAAGTCTCTGTCATTTTCACAGTGACCAATTCATTATCCAATTTAGCCCTATCTACTATGGAAGGATAATACTAAGGCCATGAATATCAGAAGGGAAGCATATTTGTGATCTATCTCAGAGGCTGGCTACCACAATCATTAAATAAGATGGACAAAAAGCACATTAAAAATCAACAAATGCATATTAATAGAGCTCAAAGTGAGTATGTCAATTTTGAAATAATAAACAGCATAATCAGAATAAGAGAGAATTTATCATGGGATTTTCTTTTTAAGGAGGTGAGAAGTTTTCAGTTGAGTTTAGAAAAAAATGAGAGACTGGAATTTTGATAGAGAATAATTAAGAAGAGTGGACATTTCAGATAAATATACATGTCTATCTTCATAGGCTACTGAAGGGTAAGGATTATGTCTGAGAGAGTCTGATCACTTAGCATTTAAATCAGAGTTACAGACTTTTATTTGTAGGTGATTTTAAAGCAACATTATAACAGTGAGTAAAACATATCCAAAGGACCCTTTTACTATAAAGGTAGGGATCTGAAACATTACCGTGAAAAATTGAAAAATGTCCAAATTTTTTTTAGAATAGGTGCTGTATTAGTCTGTTTTCATGCTGCTGAAGACACACCTGAGACTGGGAAGAAAAAGAGGTTTAATTGGACTTACAGTTCCACATGGCTGGGGAGGCCTCAGAATCATGATGGGAGGTGAAAGGCAGGGCAAGAGAAAATGAGGAAGATGCAAAAGTGGAAACCCCTGATAAAATCATCAGATCTCGTGAGGCTTATTCACTACCATGAGAAGAGTATGGGGGAAACCACCCCCATGATTCAAATTATCTCCTACCGGGTCCCTCCCACAACACATGGAAATTATAGGAATACAATTCAAGATGAGATTTGGGTGGGGACACAGAGCCAAACCATGTCAGGTGCTTTCTTACATATGTAAATAATCATAAGCAACTGTAATAACTAACATAAATGTAATAAAATGTGCTTAGTAAAATGCATAGTTTTTTACAGATATAAAGATGTTTGTTAATATCATAAACTCATATACAGACACAAAATATATTCTTTAAAAGTTTCTCTGTACCTTAGCTTCTCAACATGTCAAATTAACTAAAAATTTGTGAATCAGCTTATTGAGTAAAAAATCAGATTACTAACAGACTGCCAACACAAACAATTTAAATTGTCGAACTTGCCTGATGCTGATTAAATCATGCTGAGCAACGCCACAATTATAATTTGGCACTCTATTTGCTGTTCAGTAAACATAAATATTCTGTCCTGTTGATAGTTTTATTTTTTCATTATAAGTTAGTCACTGGACATTCTTTATAAACCCACTTCTAGTAAGTTTATTGTATGTCATTTCATAAGAATTGATTCATTATCTTAAAGTATAATGACAAAAAAAGTGTAATGATCTCGAAAACTGGAGGACCAATTTCTAGAATATAATGACCACTTTAAAGCTTCCTCCTTTGCCAAAATTCCATCTGAGTGACCATTGACCTCTCAAGACCTAATGGTAACAAGTCCTAATTATTTTCTCTTTATACTTTGACTAAAATGAATACTATATCTAGTAAGGATCAAAGTTGGCAGAAGGAAGAAAACAAAAACTTCTATTAGAGAGGTAAGACAAGAAAACCTTTCCTCTTCCACTGAAAAAACTTGATATTATATTTTCTTTAAGGATCAATGAAGTTTTACCTAAATTTTTATATTTTGCATGGCATATCAGGAAGAATAAGATGAAGAATTATGACACATGGATTCAGGTTCTTGCTCTGAGACTATTTATGTGGCATTAGAATATTGCCCCAATTTTTTACATCTCAGATTCTTCTACTTTAAGAACTGGTGCTTTGGTTAGATTATCTCTAAAATTTCTTTTGCTAAAAAACTCCTTGATGTTTCTTCAGATGACTAACCAAATTCTTCAAGAAAATAAGATAGTGTTAAATTAGTCCAGTAAAAACAAAGGAAGATAAAATACAGCAATATTATTTCCATGAGAAAAAAATAAAAATTTTAGCTATTATTGCAAATTTAATTAGTATGCATTAAAGCATTCCATAAGTATTATCGAGCCTCCTAATTTATGCCATCCATACAGAGATTACAGAAAAGAACAGAATTAAGTTGAGGCCAGAATCCCAGTAGCTAAAATGTAGGCCAACAGTCTAAAATGTTGCCAGATTGTCCAGACACACTACAGGGAAATAAGCCAGTTATCTTTAGTTTTTAAAGTACACCTTGCCCATCTCTGCTAATGGATTCAAAACTCTAGGGTAGCTCCTGGACATCTGTACAGACTAAAAGGCTCCTGCAAAGTCTGGGTCACCTTAATCCTTTAAAAAGTCACTATGTGCTTCTTTCTTATCTGAAAAATCTTAGTTATGCTTTCAAGATGGTTTTCTGGTAGATGTTATAAGATAATACCTCCTCTCACCCTCCCCTGCCTATTTCATAAGCCTATGTATGTGATAAACAGCAAGCATTTTGAAATCATCTGAGGTCTTTATAAACAAACTTGCTGGCCTCAGACCTCAGATAACAATGTGTGTTGTTCATGTGTGAACAATCACTAAATGACTTTTGAAAACTGGGAAATGTGCAGAAAAAAATTTTCCTCAGTTTTAAAATACACCTCATTTAGGAAAAATAATTGTTTGTGTAATTCCTTTGATGTTTAGTAATTAAAATTACATTTTCCTTTCACAAATAGTTTTATCCTCTTGAAATAGTGCTTAAATTGCTGTGTTTTATGGAAAACATATGATGCTTGATTTTTCCTTGAAGGAAAAAACCTGGAAAAAAAACTCCAGAAAACAAATATACCATAGAAGAAAAAGCATCAAGCTCAGGTTTGGGCTCCCAGGTTTTCACACTCACTTGCATGAAAAAGTCTGGATCTTTTGTTCCCTCAGCTCTAAAATGAACAATTAGAATCTAATTTCCCTTCAGGCTTAAAAAACTAGGAATATATGTTTTTTCATCATGTATGTTATGAACAGAATTATGTGCCCCCCCAAAATTTACATGTTGAAGCTCTAACCCCCAGCACCCCAGAATGTGGCTGTATTTGGACACAGGGCCTTTAAGATGTGACTAAGTAAAATGAGGCCATTAGTGTGGGCTCCAATCCAATCTGACTGGTGTCCTTGGAGAAACAGAGACGTCAGGGATGTGAACACAGAGAAAAAAACGTGTGAAGACACAGCAAGAGGGCATCTTGTGCAAGCAAAGAGAGGCCTCTGAAGATGCCAAGGCTGCTGACATCTTGATCTTGGACTTCGTCTTAGTTTGGGTGCCATAACAGAATACCAAAGACTGGGTGGCTTAAACAACAAACATTTCTTTCTTTCTTTTTTTTTTTCTTACTCTGTCGCCAGGCTGGAGTGCAATGGTGTGATCTCAGCTCACTGCAACCTCCGCCTCCTGGGTTCCAGCAATTCTCCTGCCTCAGTATTCGGAGTAGCTAGGACTACAAGCACGCGGCACCACGCCCGGCTAATTTTTGTATTTTTAGTACAGACAGGGTTTCACCACGTTGGCCATGATGGTCTCGATCTCTTGACCTCGTGATCCATCTGCCTCAGCTTCCCAAAGTGCTGGGATTAGCACAGTCAGGTTCTTGGTGAGGGCTCCCTCTTCCCAGTTATGCCCTCACATGACCATCCTTGGTGTTTGCACAGCGGGAGACATCACGTGTCTCCTCCTCACCTTATAAATGCACTAATCCCATCATGAGGGCCCTACTCTACTGACCTAAGATAACCCTAAACACCTCTCAAAGGGGCACCTCCAAATACATTAGGGGTTACATTTCAACATATGAATTTTGGGGAAACACATTCAGTCCCTAGCAGATTCTAGCCTCCAGAATGGTGAGAAAATAAGTTTTTGCTGTTTAGGCCACTCAGTCTTGTTATGGCAGCCCTAGTACAATAATACGATGTACAGCAGTATTAATCATTAGTTTCCTTTTGTTGTTTTCAAACAAAAGAGAAGGGTAACTTTCAAGTTTAGATATACAACCCAAATTAGAAAAAATGTTCATGTATGAGCTAAAATTTATACTTACAAAACAAAAATATTATACCTCACTATTCACATCCTGTTCTGCTGTTTTAACCTTTAAACAAATATGAAAACTCCAGGTTGTCACATACAACTAGGGTTGGTAAATGTTTTTCATAAAGGACCAGACAAGGGTATCCGTTATCTTAAATGTTTTGAACCAGAAGTGTTTTGGATTTTGATTTTTTTTGGATTTTTGGAATATTTGCAATCTATACTGGTTCAGCATTCCTAATCTAAAAATCTGAAATTCAAAATGGTCCAATGAGCATTTCCTTTGAGCATCATGTCAGCATTTAAAAAGTTTTGAATTTTGGAGTACTTCAGATTTTGGATTTTCAAATTAGGGATACTCAACCTGTAATAAATATTTTGGCTTTATAGGCCATATGATCTCTTGTAAATACTCAATTTTGCTGTTGCAGCAATGCATGAACAAATGAGTATGACTATGTTCTAATAAAACTTTATTTTAGACACTAACATTTGAATTTCATGTAATTTCACGTTATAAAATATTTTTTGAATTTTTTTCAAATATCAAAAAATGTAAACATCACTCTTAGCATGCCAGTTATAGCCCATGGACCATAGTTTGCTAACCCAGAATAGTATAATAAAATGAAACAATCCACTTTCTGTTTCTTCCTTATTACATCACAGTTATTAATGTTTATTTTATTTGTTTATTTTTTAATTTTTTTAGACAGGGTTTTTTCTGTTGCCCAGGCTGGAGTGCGGTGGCATAATCATAGCTTATTGCAGGCTCAACCTCCGGGACTCAAGCAATCCTCCCACCTCAGCCTCCTGAGTAGCTGGGACCACAGGCATGCCCACCATGCCCAGCTAATTTTTTTATTTTTTGGAGAGATGGTGTTCTCCCTATGTTGCCCAGGCTGGTCTCAAGCAATCCTCCTGCCTCAGCCTCCCAAAGTACTGGGATTACAGGTGTAGGCTACTGCCTAAACCTAAAAATACATAGTACCACAGGGGTTTGAGACAGGAACTAGGCAGAAGCAAGCTCAAACCATTTCTTACTGTCAAGAATTTACTCTAGAAATTAAACCCTGTAGCAAAGTCTGCATGTTTCAGGGCCACTGAATAGTTGGGAGCTCTCTGAATTAATGTGCATGTAGAATATAGCATTTATTAAAAGATAAGTAATAAAATATGCTAATTGTAAGTTTATATACATTATTAAAACTCATCACTAACCACAACAACTATTTAGAATTTAAGCCAGAGTTCCACCAACTACAGCCCACAAGCTAAATCCAGTCTGCTGCCCATGGCTACTATCTATCCCTTTACAGAAAAACTTGCTAATTTTTAACTTAAATTAACCAAAGATTTTTTTCAGGCGAGGGTATTTTAACACTGATATTGTACAGAATTGCTGGTGTTGGGGAATAATAAAGAACACAACCATAGATAATATGCACACTTATTGCCTGTACCTAGGGTAAACTGTTCCCACTTCCCTGTCCTTGGTATGTCAATCGGGTGTAATAATATTTTGACAGTAGAAACCTAGGGCTCAGACTCTGTAAATATTTGGAGTTGTACAACCCCTCATACAACATATTGATTGGGCCTTAGATTCTACTTGACTGTTCCTACATAACTATTTGAATATATAACTATAAATAGTAGTAGAAGAGCCTTCTAGGATAAAAGAATTTAGAAGGCATCATGCCTTCTCTTTGAGGTTCAAAATGACTAAAACAAATGTATACTATTTCTGCTTTATCTACCATTGATCAGGCAGTGCCTTAAATGCAGAAACATTTGCATTCTATACATATTTATAGTGATACTAGGGAAGCTCCAACCAAGGAGAGATATAAGTAAAAGATAATGTCGGTTCTGGCCAATTTAGGTGTTATGTATTCCCAACCCCACTCAGCCATCTTGGAATCATGGATGGCCTTGGTGGGAAATGGCTATGTGAGTGAATCTAAAGGCCCACACCACTAGATTTGTAAACCTTGGAGCCCAAGAGTGTGTGTGTGTGTGTGTGTGTGTGTGTGTGTGTGTGTGCTCATGCGCATGCATGCATGCCATAGCCTGGCACATTTTGCATCTGGAAGTTATTGTAAATCTTTACTGGCAGCCAGTAGCAAAGATGAATAACGTAAGCTCAACACCATCAGTAAAGGGAATCTTTCTTACTAATAGGTTACCTTAATGGCTATGTAGGTTTTGTTAATGATACTGTCAATAGAAGACATACATCATTCAACTTCTATTTTTTACTTTTGATTATATTCTTGTCTAATAATTGGCTTGCTTTTAAAATTTTCTACAATAGGCAATAGGCCTAAAGAGTCAACCTTTTTAGTTTTTTTTGCTTTGTTTACCTTGTAGGTTTATTTCTGACATTGCTTTAGTCTGACTGAAATGTTATAATCATTGAGCTGTGTCAATATCTTTTGGTAAAAAGAGTTGTTTTTTTTTTAAATTTTAGATTCAAGATATTAGTTTCATAGATCTTCTTGGATGGGATTTTTCAGTGATCACTGAACACTGCCAGGTGATAGAGAATGATTGGTTAAAATAAACTAAGTTGTGGGGCTTCTGCCTTTTCAAAAATACAGGGGTGCTTTCCAATAAAAGCAGAGTTCAAGTAGAGAAATCTCAATTTTTAAAAAACTGAGAATTTTTTAATCTACTACTAGTAATAATTAGGGTTGCTAACATCCATGCAACGCGTTAATAGGGTTTGTTTTTAAATCTCACAACAACCCATGTGAGTATTATTATCCCCATTTTACAACTGAGGCATTAATGTTTAGAAAGGTTAAGTGACTTGCCTAAAGTGACAATAATGTGTGGCCACACATCATTAACAGAGGATTCCTTTAAATGTCAGTTTCCTCTAGGATAAGTAAACTACTTTTCTAGCACCATGAGTCAGGAGAGCACCTTGGAAAAGCTATGCTTCAAAAATGTACACAAAGATAGCAAAGAGATAACTGCAGAACGGAAAAAAAGGGTATTGGAGAGACTTCAGGAATCTTTTGGACTGAAAGGAAGTAGAGGCCACTTCGAGAGGGACTGGAATAGAAGAAATAGGGGAGCTGGCTAGAACCAGGGTGACATGTCACTCTGCCACTCTCTCTGGGGATTTTCATTTGTGTTTGACTATATGAGTATAGCTCATCTTCTCCTTGGTCTGCAGCCTGGCTGCTTTTTCAGCTTCTCCTTGTTCACTGCCCACCCATACCTGCCCCTGCAGGGACTTGTATTTAAAGTGCCTATGGGGACTTTGGAGACTGGCCCTGACTTTAAATGGCCACAGAAAAAAAATGAGGTAGAAGAGGGAGGAAAGCCAGGAAAAGAAATTGTGGAAGGAAAGTTTAGGCAATTGGAAAAAAAAAATAAGACCAGGTAACAAAATGGAAAGCAAGGAAAAGGTCTTCAACAGTGACAAATACTTTCAGAGAGAGCATTTCTCACTCAAAATCAAGAGAAAACAAATGAATTTTTTTGATAAAGCATAATTGAACCTAGAACTATATGTTGTTTTTTTTTGCTTTTCATCTCTGTAACAAAACTTTAAATTCTGCTTGAATTTATTGATACTGGAAGATTCTTTCACAATCTTTTCTCCTTTCTTTTCTCTCTTCTTTTAGTAGTTCTTGCCCAATGCAGTTGGAAAAGTAGAGCCAGGTGTCTCCTTTATCAAGAATAAATGTTTCCAAGTAAACTTGTAAATTAGAATGTAAGCTCTATTTAGCACAGAGTTTTATTTTATGCTCTATCATCTTTATTGGTTTTACCTTTCCAATTTTGAGACTAAAAAGTACAACCCGAACAGCTCCTTATTTTTGTAATAAAAATGTGCTGCATTCCTGTCCATACAACAAAGAACTAAACGCCACATTAATCTAAGGGAGATCTTCTACCATATAGTATCTTGAAATGTGCTGCTATATATTTTAGTTCTTCTCTGTCTCAGGTAGGGAATCTTCAGTTTGCTCCTGCTGTTGTTTTCGTGTTGCTTTTTTGTTTTGTTTTTCACACTAAGGTTTTATTTAAAAAACAAATACAAAACTTTGTTCATGATACGTATCCTTTTTTAACCTTTTAAAAATGCTCTTAAACCTTTTTTAACCTTTAAAAAAAAGCTTCAGATTATCAGCATTCCATAAGCACAAATAAAGACGTGAGTGGTGTGATGAAAATAGGCCTTAGGTTATGTTATAAGAAACTGGATTTAAAAAACAGAAAAAAAAGCTGAACTCAAGCCTTCAACAGCTCTGATTTAATTTCCTGTGGAGTAAATCCATTCTCAGACACCTGTGGATAAGTTTGTTATTTAGCACTTCACTGAGTCCCTTTTTGAACTTTACAAAGAAACAAACTTCGGGTCACAGGGTCCCAGGGCTTTGTGGACCATCCCCTGACACACCGCTCTGACCCTTTAATACATGGTCATTGCATTTCACCCTTGATCACTGGCTAGGAATTAACCATGCACAGAGAATTGCTTTTGTTAATTTTGGTCATACCCTACATTCCTGGTAAAAACTAAAGAAGGATTACTGGAGAGGGACGATGAAAAAGAAAATGAATTAGCAATTTGGTTTTTAATTCTGTGTTTCTATATGAGGTATATATTTTGTCTCTCAAATATCATAATTTTTTTTTCAGAATTTCTGCCTTTCTAGCCATTATTAAAGGTTAATTTTTTTTCTTTTAAAAACAGTGATACATATTCATGCTAGTTTAAAAAAAAAAATTCTCAAAGTAACTACAGCGGGAATGTAGTAAGGTCACCAGAAGAAATGTCCTGGGTCCATTGGCCCAATCTCTTACTGCTGGATGATGCGTGTGAAGAAACCAGAGAGGTAAGACTCTTCCAGAGCCATGTAGTTAGTTGATAGCCACGCCGAGACTTGAACTGAAATCCCTGGACTCATGGTGAACTTTTTCACGACAACTTGCAACCTCTGGGTAGAGTGAATGATGCATCCTTGTCTGTCTGGGACTTCCCAGTGATTTTTATAATGCACCTCAAACTTTAACAGTTAGGGATATCATTAATGAAAACGTGGAGATGATTTTACAGTCAGTGCTCCCTGTCAGGAATATTCTAAACTGCTGATGGCTGGTTGACAGCCAAATTCTGGAATGCGCCTTGGGTTGTCATGACAGATCTGCTGAGTGACCTCCAAGAGCTGCACAGCAGAAGATTATCATATTGACTAAATGTGCTTTCCTAAGTCCAGAAGCTTTTATTTTCTCTCTTGTGAAGTAGATTCTCACTTCAAAATAGTCCTTTATTTAGAAAAAGTTACTGTAGAATAGTAATAGAGAATGAGTCACTCTAAGAATTTACTTTGTAGAGCATCTTCCAGATTACATTTTTACATATTATGACAGTGCCTAAAATATTTATTCTAAATGTTTTCTTTCTGACTACTTAAAAAAAAAAAGCACATAATAGGTATACTTTCTAATGATAGGCTAGTTTAACATTCCAGTAAAAATTCTGGTCAATTTAGTAAACCTTGAAATTTGCAAAATGTCAATCATTTTTCTAAATTTTTCAAAGTATGCAGGAAAGTTCCTAATCTCAAAAGTTTACTTTTTCTGCTCAATTATGCTGAGAAAAGAAATTGTCTATAAATTTAGATGTAATACAATTTCATTTCACTTTAGTTCTTAATATTAAGCTTTGTGATACCTAAGGGAAGATATCAAATAATTTTAAACATGTGAATGAATTTAAATGTCTCTTGAGCTTATTATGAGAATAACTACCACCCAAAAGATAAAATTATTTCAATTCATTAACAAAACGGTGGCATATAATTCCAAAAGTATTATTACCAACATATATTTATAAAGTTTTATCAATATTACAATCTATTACATTTCACTGAAGGAAAACTTTGTTGAAAATTTAATTTTGTATCAATACATTTATAGCCCAATTTACAATGAGTTATTTGGTTATATTAAATAAACCAGTCAAAATTATTTCAGGGTGAATAAGCTGAAGTACTATGACTTTTAAAATATTCAGTAATGGTATTTTTCTTCTCAACTCTGAGTTCTCTGTAATTCAGGATATAGTTAGTAAAATTCTTCTTAATAGTCTTTAGACCACGTTAAATTGCCAAAGTGTAGAAAAATACCTGTTTCTGAAAATCTGTGCTTTTGATGTTTTTTATTTGAGAGAATAATATTTCTTCACAGGAAGCTAGGGTTACATCAGAAGCAGGAGACTTGTCAGAGACCTTTTACCCACTGAACTTTCCCTTTGCTTTGACTCTTATTACTATTAAAAATGCATTGTGCTGGTGACAGGATTTACAGATTCAAGCAAAAGGGAAGAGCATATTTTTCCTTAGTAAGTTGTGGTACTACGAGTGGCTGATTCTTGGCCAGGGCACCTATGCAAGCCCATATCTTGAAAGCGGCTGTGTCCAGTAGTAGGGCAGGGGCTAATGGGGCCAGAAAACACACTTGACTCCCAGCCTTAGTAGGCACCTCCTGATATCCTGAGTCAGTAGATGCAGTTTAAAAGACCAACATGAGCAAAGGAAAAAGGAGAGGCCCTAGACAAATGGCCAAAGAGTAACAATTGCACTCTTTTAGTGTTGCAGTCAGCTCCCATGTATTCACTTTTCTCCTCTACAACTTTCTCTTTGCGGTAACTCTCTTACTGAGACAACCAGGTCAGACGGGGTCCCCAGAAAAACTCCCAGTGTCGGTGGGCATGTGCACCATTTGTGGAGCGGGGAGGAGCCTGGCCCCTCCTCTTCCTGTGTGGAACCTGGGATTGAAGCTGTGAGTGGGAAGTGCTCTAGCAGGGAACTCTGGCCTTGCCAGAGTCCTGTTTCCCCATTTTTTTCCTTTTCACCCAATAAAACCCTGTCTTACTCACCATTCAAATGTCTGTGAGCCTGAATTTTCATGGCCATGGGACAAAGAACCCTGTCTTTAGCTGAACTAAGGAAAAGTACAACATTATTATCTTCCTTTCTTAGCAGGTAACTAATTAAGGTATTCATTGATATCAGTGTATAGTGTTCAATTAATATCTCATGTTATCTATTTTGTGATGCAAAATTCACTTACATTTCACTTTCTGGATTCCCTCCATCAAACATACATGCACGCACACACATACCCAAGTAAAAAGGAGAGTATTTAGGATTGGAAGACTGCTCTCTGCTCTACAAATTACAGTATGTAAGGAGTGACACTTGTTCTTGGTGTCTGGCCTCCATAGGAAGCCTTTCCTCTCTATTGCCATACAACCCATGCCTGATTCATCTGGTTCTTTCCTTCTCTTTAATGAAATAATAGTAAAAGTTGTGTGTTCATGTAGTAATACAAAATCATTTCCTTGAGGTTAAAGTTTTCACAGATTTTACATTATAAATGTGTTTTATGTTTTTAAAAATAAAGGTCAGCCTAGAGTTTCTTGTTTTTGTAGGCATTAACATATTTTGAAAGCTAGAAAATAACAAAAATATGATTTTTTGTTGTCTTTTTTTTTTTTAAACAAGGTCTCACTTTGTCCACTCTGTTGGCTGGAGTGCAGTGGTATGATCATGGTTCACTGCAGCCTCAACCTCCATGTCTCAAGTGATCCTCCCACCTCAGCCTTCCAAGCAGCTCTGACTACAGGTTCCTGCCGTCATGTCTGGCTAATCTTTTGTTTTAATTTTCCTTTAATATAAACCGGACATGAATTTTCATAACAGTTTTTCAGTCAAATACAATGCATCCCTAGAATAGCAACAAAAAAGATTTTAAAAGCAATTATCTTTTAAAAATATAAATACCTCTGTAAACTAAGTCTAGTGTAACAGTTATCAAATGTTTTGGTTTCAGAACTCTTTTACATTCAAAAATTATTGAGAATGCCCAAGAGCTTTTGTTTATATGGTTTATTTTTACTGTTATTTACTATATTAGAAATTAAAACAGATTTTTAAAATATTCATTAATACATTAAAAACAATAAAATCACATGGGTGATTTTACAGACATGATTTTCAGTTACTATAAACAGCAATTTTATCACAAATAACTGTGTTTTTCAAAAAATAGTGAAAAAAGTTTCATTTACATTTTTTATTGTGAAACATTTTGTAAAGTCTGGCTTCATGTACGATAATGGACCCTCATATTGGTTTCTGCATTGTTATCTATTGCATTGCAATGTTTTAGATGAAGTAAATGAAGAAAATCTAGCTTCACACAGATATGTAGTTGGAATGGGGAAGAGCAGTCTTTTTGGATGATTGTAAATATTCTTCTTTGATACTACACTAAAATTCAACAACCTATAGGTTCTTAAAGATTAGTTGCAATGTGGGATCTGAAACCTTGTCAGTGAACTTTTGACATTCTGTTATAATCTATTGGTCTATATTTCACTTTGAATGAATCCTTTGCCTATGCATGGTTTTGTAACATTGTTCACTAGTCTTATGGAAAATATTGAGTCACTGAGTAATGCAGATCTAAATGCTGACTTATTTCATGATACAGTGTCAAAAAAATTCATTAATATCACCACTGATCACAAAGAAAAAATCTTTTAGTATCAGGAAGCTCCTAGTGTTGGTTAGAAGCTTTCCAAAATTCTAATTTTTGTTTAAAAGCTTGAATTTTATCATTGGTAGCAAGTACTGTCAGATGTTTTCCTTAATGTAAAGGCTCACTTTGTTCACTTTTGAAAAAGTTTCTGCAAACACACAAGTCCCAATCACCATAGTTTCTCTGCTGCCCCTTTTCAAGGAAAAACGGTGTTTCATGAAAAAAAAAAAAAAAAAAAAAAAAGGAGCTAGTTCAGCTTGTAAATCAAACAACTGCATAAGTGCTTTTCCTCAAGACAACCATTATTCTCAGTTAAGCAGCCAAGGTGCTTTATGCATACTCCTAATTCTTCACATAGGATATTAAAAGGGGTGTACTCAAGGGTTGAGATTTAATAAAATCTGTAATTTTTATTGCTTCATCAAGAATATATTTAAATGAAACTGGCCATTTTCTTCACTCTGTGTGCGTGTGGCAATAAAAAATGCAATGGGTGCTAGGAGTTTAGAGCCACTGCCTTGATTTGTACTAAAAAGCCAATTGTTTTTTGGTGTAAATATTGACCAAGTAAAAAAGCAAATAATGTTTTAGTATTATTAGGAGAATAGTTTTGACCTTAAAAGTCTGTTGAGAACTCCCAGGAATTATCCAGTTTACACTTTGAGAATGACTACTCTAGTGTGATGACTTTGTAAATCAGGATACAAAAAAATGGCATTCCTTGGACCAAACATAGCCTGTGGATCTGTTCTGCTTGGCCTCTTCAACATATTGTTATATCTTTAGACAGGCAATGCATTCCCCAGTTTACAACAAGTTCTCACCACTTTCTTCCTTTTGGCTCAGCTCCTAATTCGCTCATTGATGTTAATTGGCCTTGATAGAGATTTGAGTCTATGACCATTGCTAATTCAATGAGACAAGTAAAATCTGAAGCATACATTTTGGAAAGCATTTGTAGATACAATGATTTTTCATTTTAAAATCTAAGAAATTTGCTGGAAAACCAGTAAAAGTAGTAAGAGTTAGTAAACACTCCCAGTTATGATATCACCTTTTAAAATAAATGCATACAGCCACAATATCAATTAGAAAATATAAAATACCTGAATTTAAATCTAATAGATAATATATAAGACCTAGCCATATATATTAAGAAAATTATAAAATAGTAATGGAAAACAGAGTAGTCTAATTGATTAATAATAATTACAGTAATAATAAAAACTATTATTTACTAGCACTTACTAAATATCAGGTAATGTACCTCAGCCTTTCCTTATATTATCTAATTTCATCCTCATTTTATAGCAATCCTTTGAGTCAATACTGTTACTATTCCCATTTCATAGATGAGGAAACTAATGTGCAGATAAATTAAATGATTTACCCCAAATCAAATAGAGACATTATGCCATGTTTCTAAATGGGAAAACTCAGCTTCATAAATAAGTTGAGACTCCTCAACTCACTCCATAATTCATGGAATTTTAAATAAAATCTTACTTTGATTTTTTAAATTAAAACTTGACAAACTAATTCTAAAGTTCACATGGAAAGACAAATCTTTAACACTAAAAGCATTTTTAAAAAGAACAAAAGAAGACTTCAAGATTCTATAAAGTTAAAGTAATTAAAACATTGTTGATTTGGTGCAGACATAAAGAAATAGACGAATGTAATAGAATAGGGTATGGAAATTCACCTATATATGTATGTTCTTAATGTATGAAAACTGGTGTATCTCAAATCAGTAAGGGAAAGATAAGGGCAATGTAATGGATGGTTTGTGACAATGGTTTATTCATTTAGAGAACTGTTAAATTAGACCCCCTCCATATCAAATAACATACAAATAAACACTGAAGAAAAAAAAAGTTAAATGTAAAAAAGTTAAGCTATGAGACATAAATAAAATATAGGAGAATATTTTTATAACTTGAGATATTGTAAGCCTTTCTAAGCTATATTTTAAAATTCCAGAAAGTAGAAGAAATAAACGAATACATCTGACCTTGTGTTAAAAAATACATTTTTTAAAACTTTTAAAAGATAAGACATTATTCAAATGTAAAAACTCAAGTGATGCTTGGGAGAAAACATCTATAACTCATCTAACAAAAAACGTTAATATCAAACTATGTAAGGAGCCCCTAAAAATATACTAAAAATTGTGAAGTGATCAGATTTTTAATGGACAAAAATGGCCTGGCGCAGTGGCTCACGCCTGTAATCCCAGCACTTTGGGAGGCCGAGGCAGGCAGATCACCTGAGGTGGGGAGTTCGAGACCAGCCTGACCAACATGGAGAAACCCAATCTCTCCTAAAAATACAAAATTAGCCAGGCATGGTGGCACATGCCTGTAATCCCAGCTACTAGGGAGGCTGAGGCAGGAGAATCGCTTGAACCTGGGAGGCGGAGGTTGCAGTGAGCTGAGATCATGCCATTGCACTCCAGCCTGGGCAACAAGAGCAAAACTCTGTCTCAAAAAAAAAGAAAAAAAAAAGGACAAAAATATTAAAAATACAATTCCAAAAGAAATATAAATGCTAAATAGACATTTGAAATTAGATTCACTCTCACTAATTATTAGGAAAATAAAAGGCTTAATGACATAGTATTTCCTATCAAAATAGCACAAATTCAAAGATTGCTGATGTTAAGCAATGCTTAGAATTCATTGAAAAGAGCATTCTCATACCCTCAAGTACAGTTTAAATTAATGAAACCTCTTTGGAAAGAAAATTGTAAGTACCTGCTTGTATTTTAAATGTACATCTCCTTTGTTGGAACAATTTCATTTCTGGTGATCTACTTTTAATGGATGCCGACACATGTGCTCAAAGCTATAGGTACAAAGATGATTACTGTTTCATTAGCTGTGCTAGCAAAACCAAGCATGCAAACAAATAAAAAGAGCTAAGAACTTAAATGGTCATTAATGGGTAAGTGGTTATTGAAACACACCTGTTACTGATAAAAGTGAGCTACTGAAGTGAAAATAGCTACATGAATATTGTTAAGTGAAAAAAGAATGTTGTAGCTTCAGTAGGTTTAGTAAAATACCAGTTACCTAAGAAAGAAGAAGGATGTATGCACATCTATTTGCAGGTAAATAATTAGAAAGACATGAGAAAGATGGTCAGTTGGCAATGCTACTTCTAGGGGAAAGGAGGCCTCCATGATAGCTCCCATTTTGCTTGCTATCATTCTTCAAAATTTGAATTTCTTCAACTCTCAGAATATACTAAGGCTATATGTGTGTATATATTATTATATATTGTATGTTATATATACAGATATATATACATATATGTTATATTTGAAATATATACTTCCATATATATTTGAAAATGACTGTTTTCAAACTTACATTGAATGTCTGTGTTCATTCTACAGGCGCAGAGTGAGGCAGTGAGGAAATAAAAATAGAGTCCGCGCTTTCAAGTGTTTCCTGATCTGCTGGGGAAAATGGTCATATTAACACATGGAGTCATGGCACAGTGTGTGCTAAGGATCATGGTAAAGGTGTACACAGTGATTTGCTAACAAGAGGGATAGAAGGTGTGGCTCAGGGAATGACACAGCTGTCTGAAAGAGTCAAAATGTACCACAGAGAACGTGACAGAGATCTGGATCTCAAAGAAATGAGAGGTTGCCTAGGGAGCAACAACAAGGAGGGCATTCCTGGCAGAGGAAATGGCATGTGCAAAGAGACATCAAGAGGATGAAGCATTAGAAATATAACTAAATTATGGTTATAGCTTGGGTGCCTATTAATAGATCTGCTCAATATTAGGCAAAAACAATAACAATTGAGAATTTGTATATCATCTTTGGTGTCTTCTTTGATAACTTATTTTGTGTATGTGTGTTTTTCTTTCCTGCTACTACTCTGGAGACTTGTTCCACTGGTGACCTTTATGCATTCTAAACAATCGTAATTTCACAGAGTAAGTTGTTCTCTTCTCCCTATGTGTTTTGTCACTAGCCATTGTTTTAAAGTAGCTTGCTTGGTTTTTTGTATTGCATCTTGTGAAAGCCTAGATGCCTAGGGGCTTTCATACAAATGTAGAAGTCAAAATACATTTCTTCTTGGAAGGTAATAAAGTGTGAATGTTTTCAACAAATAAAGCATTAATATAAGACCTGTATTAGTTCATTCTCATGCTGCTACAAGAACATACCCAAGACTGGGTAATTTATAAAAGAAAGAGGTTTAATTCACTCACAGTTCTGCAGGGCTGGGGAGGCCTCAGGAAACTTGCAATCATGGTGAAAGGGGAAACAAACATGTCCTTCTTCACAAGGTGGCAGGAGAGAGAAGAATGAGAGCCAAGCTAAGGGGGAACCACCTTATAAAACCATCAGATCTCATGAAAACTTACTCACTATCATAAGAATAGCATTGGAAAAACCACCCTCATGATTCAATAACCTCCCATCGAGTCCCTCCCATGACATGTGGAGATCATGGGAACTACAATTTCAGATGAGATTTGGTTGGAGACACAGCCAAATCATATCCTTCCACCCTAGCCTCTCCCAAATCTCATGTCCTCACATTTCAAAACACAAGCCCTTCCAACAGTCCCCCAAAATCTTAACTCATTCTAGCATTAACTAAAAAGTCCAAATCCAAAGTCTCATATGAGACAAGGCAAGTCCCTTCCAACTATAAGCCTGTAAAATCAAAAGCTAGTTACTTCCTAGATACAATGGGGGTACAAGCATTGGGTAAATACACCCATTCCAAATGGAATAAATTGGCCAAAACAAAGGGGCTATAGGACCTGTGCAAGTCCAAAGTCCAACGGGGCAGGCATTAAACCTTAAAGTTCCAAAATGATCTCCTTTGACTTCATTTCTCACACCCAGGTCATACTGATGCAAGAGGTGGGCTCCCACAGCCTTGGGCAGCTCCACGCCTATAAATTTGCAGGATACAGCCCCACTCCCAGCTGCTTTCATGGGCTAGCATTGAGTTTCTGTGGTTTTTCCAGGTGTATGGTGCAAGCTGTCAGTGGATCTACCATTCTGTGGTCTGGAGAATGGTGGCCCTCTTTTCACAGCTCCACCAGGCAGTACCCCAGTGGGGACTCTATATGGGGGCTAGCACCCCCAATTTTCCTTCAGCACTGCCCTAGCAGAGGTCCTCCATGAGGGTTCCATCCCTGCATCAATCTTCTGCCTGGATATCAGACGTTTTCATATATTCTCTGAAATCTAGGCAGAGATTCCCAAACTTCAATTCTTGACTTCTGTGTACCCACAGGCCCAACACCATGTGTAAGCCACAGAGGCTTGGGGCTTGCACCCTCTGAAGCAATGGCCTGAGCTGTACATTTGGACCCTCTTAGCCATGGCTGGAGCTGAAGCAGCTGAGATACAGGGCACCATGTTCTGAGGCTGCCAAGAGCAGGGGAGCCCTAGGCCCAGCCAATGAACAATTTTTCCCTCCTAGGCCTTCAGGCTTCTGATGGGAGGGTCTGCCATGCAGGTCTCTGACATGTCCTGAAGACATTTTCTCCATTGTTTTGGTGATTAACAATTGGCTTCTCGTTACTTAGGCAAATTTCTGCAGTAGGCTTGAGTTTCTCCCCAGAAAATGGGTTTTTCTTCTCTATCACATCATCAGGCTACAAATTTTCCAAACTTTTATGTTCTGCTTCCTCTTGAATGCTTTGCCACTTAGAAATTTCCTCTACCAGATACCCCAAGTCATCTCTCTCAAGTTCAAAGTTCCATAGATCTCTTGGGCAGGGGCAAAATGCTACCAGTCTCTTTGCATAGCAAGAGTGACTTTTACTTCAGTTTCCAACAAGTTCCTCATCTCCATATAATAGCACCTTTGTCCATATCACTATCAGCATTTTGGCCCAAGCCATTCAACAAATGTCTAGAAAGTTCCAAAATTTCCCATATCTTCCTGTTTTCTGAGCCCTACAAGTCTCTAGGAAGTTCCAAGCTTGGCAACATTTTCCTGTCTTCTTCTGAGCCCTCCAAACTTTTCCAACCTCTGCTTGTCACCCAGTTCCAAAGTCACTTCTACATTTTCAGGTAGAAGCTTTATAGCAGCACCCCACTCTCAGTACCAATTTACTGTATTAGTCCATTCTCACGCTGCTATAAGGACATAACTGAGACTTGGTCATTTATAAAGGAAAGAGGTTTACTTGACTCACATTTCTGCAGGACTTGGGAAGCCTCAGGAAACTTACAATCATGGCAGAAGGGGAAGCAAACATGTTTTTCTTCACAAGACGGCAGGAGAGAGAAGAATGAGAGCCAAGCAAAGGGAGAAGCCGCTTATAAAACCATTAGATCTTGTGAGAACTTACTACCATGAGAATAGCATGGGGGAAACCACCCCATGACTAAATTACCTCCCACTAGGTCCCTCCCGTGATACATGGGGATTATGGGAACTACAATTCGAGATTGGGGTGGGGACACAGTCAAACCATATCTAGACCTTATAAAGAATCATAGATAGGAGACACCTTGTGCTGAATGAAAGTATGGGTACTTCCTTCCATTTCCATCCATTTGTTCATCAACAATATGTATCCTCTTTTCCTTGGTAACACATTCTATGCTTGGCTTCACTCATTGTACATTTCTAAACCACTGGCATATGCAAAAAATGGATCACACAGATATTCAGTTCACAAAAATACAGCCTTCTGAGCAAAAGAAAAGCAGGCCTCTGACATTGTATGTGAAATTTATATGGTAAACTTCTAGAACCCTGTGCCCCCAACACAGCATTGGCGAAACAGATGAGTCAATCACAGGCTGTGCTTGGACAATCTGGCCCCTTGAAGTTAGGGAAACTCCTTGCATTAGTTTGTTAGTGCTGCTATAAAGAAAATACCACAGACTGGATGACTTAAAGAAGGAAAATGTATTTCTCACAGTTCTGGAGGCCTGAATTCCAAGACTAAGGTATTGGCAGAGTTGGTTTCTTCTGAGGCCTCTCTTTTTGGCTTGCAGATGGCTTCATATGGTCTTTGCTCTGTGGTTGTGCATGCCCCTGGTGCCTCTCAATGTGTGTCTCAGTTTCCTTTTATTTTTATATTTATTTATTTAATTTGAGACAAGGTCTCACTTTATCTCCCAGGCTGGAATGCATTGGCATGATCATATTTCACTGCTGCCTTGAGTTCCTGGGCTCAAGAGATCCTCCCACCTCAGCCTCCCAAGTAGCTGGGACTGTAGGCAAGTGCCACCATGCCTGGCTAATTTTTTTTAAAAATTTTGTAAAAACAGCAACTCACTGTCTTGCCCAGGCTGTCAATTTCCTCTGATTTAATTCAATTTACTGATAAGGATATCAGTAATATTGAATTATGGCCCATCCTAAGTGCCTCATTTGAATATAATTGCCTCTTGAAAGGTCCTATTTACAAATATGGTCACAGTTTAACATTTTAAAGCATTGTTGATCAGTGCTTCAACATATGAATTTGGAAGGAATGCAATTAAGCCCATAACATCTCTGGGTTTTGTTTGTTTTATCTATTTTTTTTTTTTTTTTTTTTTTTGGAGGGGTGAGTGATTCTCCCCACACATAAAGAAATCGAAGTCAGTGTTAGGTCTAATAACTTTTCTTCATCAAATCAGAAGTGGCTACATGTATTTAAGTGTTATATCAAGAAGGAAGAAAGGGACCCAACGTATACCAGGCTTTCTGGTGTGCAGGTTACATATATTTTTTTTTAACTTGATCTTTACCAAAAAATTTAAGAATATGATATACTGATTAAACCCTTTTTTTTTTAGACAGGATCTCACTGTCACCCAGGCTGGAATGCATGGCATGAACACAGCTCACTGTAGCCTCAACCTCCTGGGCTCAAGGGATCTTCCTACTTTGGGTGCTCAGTAGCTTGGAGTAGCTTGGACCACAGGCACAAACCACCAAGCCCAGGTTAATGTTTATTTTTTAGTTTTTTTGTAGAGATAGGATTTTGCCATGTTGCCCAGGCTCATCTCAAATTTCTGGACTCAAGCAATCCTCCTGCCTTAACCTCTAAAAGTGTTGGGATTACAGGTGTGGGCCACCACACCCATTTTATAAAGAAACTGAGATTTAGGGGCAGGCCTATATTCATTGTATAGATAAAGAAACTGAGGTTTAGAGGCAGGCCACTATTGAGACCCTGTTCTCTGACTTCCATCAAAGCTCCTGTTCTTAGTGTAATTGCCTGATGGGTTCATTCTGCCTGCTGCACAGACAAAACCAATTTACTGAGACCTTAGTATTACAGTAAAGAAAGAGTTTAATTAATGCTAGGCTAGCCATGCTAATAGATGAATTATTACTCAAATCAACCTCCCCAAAGACTTAGAGGTTAGGGTTTTTCAAGTATAGCTTGATGGGCAGGGGTCTAGAAAATGGGTGCTGCTGATTGGTTGGGGATGCAATCACAGGGGTGTGGCAAATGGTCCTTGTGTGCTGAATCCACTAATTCTAAGTCCTGCAATTGTGATGTTATCTACAGGAGCAATGGGGAATTCACAAATTTTGTGACTTCTGGCCACATGACTCCTGAGCACTAAGGGATTATAGAAACTACACCTATATGTTAGCAGCATTTGGTGCCCCCCACCCACCTTATTCCTAATCTTGTGGCCTTTTATTAGTCTTACAAAGGTGGTTTCAGCTCAGGAAAAAGGAGGGGATTTATTTTAGGGAGGGATCATCCTTGCTTCCAAGTTAAACTATAAACTAAATTCCTCTCATGGTTAGCTTGGCCTATGCCCAGGAATGAGCAAAGACAGCCAGCCTGTGAGGCTATCCATGGAAACAAGATAAAATCACCTACTGGGTGTACTAGCCCCCAGTATTTCAACATAGGTTCTTTTCTATTTTCCCTAAGTGTCAGCTGGTCTGAGAAATAAAGGGAAAGAGAACAAAAGAGAGAAATTTTAAAGCTGGGTGTCTGGGGTAAACATCACGTGTTGGCAGGTTCTGTGATGCCCCCTGACCCGCAAAACCAGCAAGTTTTTATTACGGATTTCAAAAGGGGAGGGGTGTATGAATAGGGTGTGGGTCACAGAGATCACATGCTTCAAGGGCAATAAAATATCACAAGGCAAATGGACAGGGAAAGGTCACAAGGCCAGGGTGAAATTAGAATTACTGATGAGGTTCCCTGTCCCACTGTGCACGTATTGTCACTGCTAAACATCTTAACAGGAAACAGGGTTCAAGAGCAGAGAACTGGTCTGACTAGAATTTCACCAGGCTGGAATTTCCCAATCCTAACAAGCCTGGGGGCGCTGCAGGAGACCATGGTGTATTTCATCCCTTATCTAGAACTGCATAAGACAGACACTCCCAGAGCGGCCATTTTAGAGGCTTCCACCTGGGAGTGCATTCTTTTCCCAGGGCTTTTCCTTGCTGAGAAAAAGAATTCAGCGATATTTCTCTTACTCGCTTTTGCAAGAAGAGAAATATGACTCTGTTCCGCCCAGCCCTGCAGGCAGTCAGACTTTATGGTTATCTCCCGTGTTCCCTGAAAACTGCTGTTATCCTATTCTTTTTCTAGGTGCCCAGATTTCATATCATTCAAACACACATGCTCTACAAACAATTTGTGCAGATAACGCAATCATCACAGGATCCTGAGGCGACATACATCCTCAGCTTACGAAGATGACAGGATTAAGAGAATAAAGTAAAGACAAGCATAGGAAATTATAAGAGTATTGATTGCGGAAGTGATAAATGTCCATGAAATCTTCCCAATTTATGTTCTTCTGCCATGGCTTCAGCCGGTCCCTCCATTCAGTGTCCCTGACTTCCCACAACAATCACCCATGTTAGATTTCTCTCACTGTCATAATCTTTGCAAAGGTGGTTTCATTACCACTACACTAGATTGCACAGGGCATGGACAGCACCTAACACTGAGTGTGCTACATGACAAGCACAATTAAATGTTAGACATCACCACTGTCCTAATTAGGGTTCTCTACAGAAATAAAAGCAGTAGGACACATAAAGATATCTAGAAAGAGACTTATTATGAGGTTTTGGTTCATGTAATTATGAGGGTTGAGAAGTACCATTATCTGTCCTCTGCATTCTAGAGACCCAGGGAAGCCAGTGGTGTAGTTCCAGTCCAAATTTGAGCACCTGCAGTAGTTCCAGTCCAAATCTGAGCACCTGTGTGCCAGGGGAGCTAATGGTGTAGATTTCAGACCATGTCTGAAGGCCTGAGAACTGGTGAGGTGAGCCAGTGATGTTAAGTCCCAGTCCTGAAGCACCAAGAACCAAGAGTGCTGATGTCCAAGACAGGAAATAATGGATGTCCCAGCTCAAGCAGAGAACAAATTCACCCTTCCTCTGCCTTTTTGTTCTATTCAGGCCCTCAAAGGATTAACTAACACCCATGCACATTGGTGAAGGTGATCTTCTTTACTCAGTCTACTGATTCCAATGATAATCTCTTCTGGAAACACCCTCACAGACACACCCAGAAATAACCTTTACCAACTATCTGGGCATCCCTTAGCCCAGCTCAGTTGACACATAAAATTAATCATCACAACCACAACCATCATCATAAATCATTACTATCATTGTCATCACCATCATCACCTTCCTCAATCATCATTGTCATAATTGAGCTCCTCTAAAGGGTAAACATTATTTCTACTTTATTCATAGGATAACTGAAATCCGAAGAGGAAAAATATGCGTCCTTGGGATTTTGACAGTTTTTCTAACTACCAATCTCTTTTCACCATAGAGTGTTGGCTCTCACAGAATTGTTTCTGCAATTTGACGACTTCATTTCTAAGTTTTTATTCATTGTTCATTCCTCAAAAACGAGAATAAGGGGAATGCAAAATAAAGTGGTGGTTAAAAGCTGATAATTGTGAACCAGGACTTGTGGCCTCAGTTCTGTCCACGTACATGGGTTTTCACATAGCATATTGTTATCCAGTATCCGTTAGTCACAGAAATTTTATTTGCATGAAAAACTAAGTGGAGGCATTCTCTTTTTCAGTATAAAGTCTTCCATTTTTAGACGTTTATCTTTTTCTAATCTTACAAACCTATTTTTCAGAAAAGTATCATGCCCTTTATAAATGAGTTTCAAATCCTGAATTGTAATTTATCATTAAAAAAGATACATATATTCCTGCCCATAGAAAGACTATAATTCTCTAATTATCAGGTTTCTACTTGGATGCTATGTGTACGTTTTAATTATACTCTCAGTCACTTGTACTTGATCTTGACTACATTGGATTCTGAATATCTACTGTGAGGTTTAACAGTATACTATGGCCACAGTACATATACTTGAATATTTCACCCCTGTTTAGTTTTGTCATAGCCATACACATAGTCTGATTTTCAAAAGTCTGTAATATTCACATTCTTATGAAAGAATGGATCACGACTTTTTCTTTCTGACGAACAATAAACCACGTTTCATTACACACAGCTGCAGCTTATTTTCAGTGTGTATAGCAAGCAATTCACATGTTTTCAAATAACTTTCACTTTAAAAAAAATTTAGCACTAATAAATATCTACAGGTAAAGTATGCTTTTAAACTACAATAATTTTAGAAAAATATATATATAAGAAAAAGCTTTAACGATAGTATCATTTTTCAGCAAAAAGTATAAGAAAAAAATAGGTGTACTCTTTTTTGCTCATCTCATGGACAAGCAGAGTTTAATCTATTCATGGTCACATAGAATAATAAATGTAAGCTCCACGAGAGTAAGGATTCTGTCTGTCACCCTGCAAAGTGCATAACACACACTAAATAAATGTATGTTGAATGAATAACTGACTGGCTGAATCAATGCAATTGGCCTCGGTATACGAAAGTACCATTCATTTCAGCAAGTAAAAATCTCACTTCATTTATAACAAAAAACATTTATAACACAGTTGGAAAGTATTGTTGTCCCTTGAGTTGTTAGTAATGAGGAACACAGAATATTGTTTTTGGTAAAATGTGGTGTATGCATGGTTATTTCAAGGGCTTTTGGATTTTTATACAATGTATGCAATGTAAATAAAATTTTTAAAAATCCTTTCTCATGCCTACTGTTTTAGCATACTTTGATTGTTTTATTTATAGTCTCCTTCTAAGAAAAATAGAAATACCACAGAACACATGTCAATATCTATAGAATTGCATCTGTTTTGATTAAAGACAGTTATGATTTCTTTAAATCAGTTGCTGACCTCAGACTGACTGGGCACAGCAGCTGAGGACTGTGGCTGAGCGCTCACCACCTAGAATGCAGTGAGTCAGCCTTCTGGGTTTTCATTCCGAGCAAAGTTACTGACTCATGGAGTGACCTTAACCAATCCTCCTGTGACTCAGTTTCTCCAAGGAAAATAGCTCTCACATAATGGAGGGGGTTAGTATTATGAGCATCAGCTGATGGGAATAGGGATTTTAAAACCTTAGAAGGAAAGTCATAATTTATTTTTAAATTTTCATTTCTCTTTATTCACAAATGAATAATTGTCATGTCATATTTGTATTAATTTATATTTTCTTCCCTAATGGAATTTACCAGCTGGTAGAGGACAAATGGTATGTGAAGAGGCAAATAAAAGAACTACAGTTTGTTGTGTGAACAAAGAATCAAAGAAGGATCTATGATAAAGACGAAGGGAAAAGGGCCCGGATTACATCACGCCTGTAATCCCAGCACTTTAGGAGGCCGAGGCAGGTGGATCACCTGAGGTCAGGGGTTCGAGATCAGCCTGGGCAACATGGTAAAACCCCATCAATACTGAAAATACAAAAATTAGCCAGGTGTCATGGCGGACCCCTGTAATCCCAGCTACTCAGGAGGCTGAGGCATGATAATTACTTGAACCCAGGAGGCAGAGGTTGCAGTGAGCCGAAGTTGCGCCACTCCACTCCAGCCTGGGCAACAGAGTGATACTCTGTCTCAAAAAAAATAAAATAAAGGACGGGGACCCCTTTGAATGGATGAACAGGGATTGTTCCCCTAAGAAGTGACAATTCAGCAAGCCCAAAGAAGGAGAAAGTGGCCTCCCATCAAGAGGAAACTGAATGAACAAAGTTTCTGAGGTATAAAAAATTATGATGTGTCCCAGACACTGAGGTAGGGCCAATAGGGCCAAAGTATAATGACAGATAGATAGTCCCTTGGTCATGCTGGGGCCCTGTAGGCCTAGGGAAGTTACTGGAATTTCATTTTAAATGCAGTAAGATGTTTTCACAAATGTTGACGATACAATTTCTCATTTACTAACATTTTTATTTCTTTTTTTGAAGTCCTTCAGTTGTCATTCTCATTTCATGGCAAATCAGTCTAGGCAAGGCCCCTCTCCATTTAATTTATTCCTTTTCTTCTCAACCCTTACTCCCACTTACCACTCATTCTTAACCTGTCAGTCATCTTGTCTCATGTACTTGATTTAAATACGTGAGTATGTAGCATTGCTTTTTATACTCATGTGGTTTTGCACAAATTGTACTAAAATCTTATTTTATCTTTTCACTCAACACTGTGCATTCAGCCTACCCATGTGGTCATTTATACACCTGGTTCAGTGCCTCTAATCCTGTATGTAAATCCATAAAATGCATCCATTTCATGTATCAACACCCTTAGCTAGTGAAGGACTCCAAGGAAGACCTCCGTTTCCTAATACAAAAAAATACCATGATGAACTCCCTCCTGCACATCTACTTGTTGGACCTGAGAGCACATCTACTTCTGGACCTGAGTGAGAAATTATTTAAAAAGTATATTCAGGGATTGCATTGCTGAATCTTAAAATATATAGATACTTATCTATCTGCTTAACTTACCTATGTTGCCTTAGATTGGTTCTATTAACTTACACTCTCATCAACAAAACTCAAAAAAGTATTCATCTCCCTATATCTGCACCAATATTTTATTTTATGAACCTTTATAATTTTGGTATTTTCATGTCTAAACGGTGGTATCTGATACTTTAATTTTGTTTTCTCATTACCAGTGAGTTTGAGTTTCTCCATATATTTGTAGGTCATTTAGGCTTTTCCCTTGCACCAGTCATTCCCAAACCCGGAGCCATAAACCAGTAGTGGTCCATGGCCTGTTAGGAACCAGGCTGCACAACAGGAGGTGAACCTGCATATGTGAGGATCTAGGTTGTGTGCTCCTTATGAAAATCTAACTAATGCCTGATGATCTGAAGTGGAATAGTTTCATATCAAAACCATCCCCTCATCCTTATCCATGGAAAAATATTGTCTTCCACAAAACCAGTTCCTGGTGCTAAAAAGGTTGGAGACCACTGCCTTACATGTATTTTTCCTATTGTCTTTCTTCTCTTCCATTCATGTTTTGTAGAAGAGATAATGATCCCTTATTGCTATTTAATAATTCCAATTATCTTGTCTGTCTATTGATATTTTTGTTGTTTTTGGATAGACAGCCTTAATTTTAGTATAGCAAGTCTATCAGTTTTTTACTTTTGGATGTTAGCTACTAGAGACTTAAGGAACTTTTTTCTACTCCTAGGATACAAGGAGCATAAAAAGAGTATGTAAATCCATCAAACTTATTCAGAGCATAAAAAGAGTATTTAAATCCATCAAACTTACTCATCTCACAGAAAAAAAAAAAGAAAAAAGAAAACTCAGAAAAACTCTAATATTTAAATTGTCAAATAAAAAAGAATTTAATTGGCTTAACCATTGACTTAGTTACTGCACAAATGTGCTAATTCAAGTGAGGCTTGAATTAATTCAAGGATGGTTTTGATAAAATGTAGATATATGCATATATATATAATGTATTCATATATATGTATATAATCATGCCTATAAGATGTGAAGGGATTTGAATTAAAAACCCAAAGGTGGGTTACTACCATTTTATTCATGATAACGGAAATCCAACTCTTCAAGGTTTATTCTTCCAGGCAAAATTGTTTAGACAAATGCCTCAGGGGAGGAGATGTATCAATAGTAAAAGTGACAGTCAAATGAATCTGTCGTTTTCATTTGGTTAATGATAGGCATCCCAACTTGACTGCTAAGAATATTTTTAAAGCATAGAGAAGAAGGAAGACTAAAAGTAGAGGATAAAGAAGGCCCCTTCCTCTGTTCCTCTGACGCATCACTCTCCCAGGCTTTGCCTCTAGGTGGCCAGCATCCTCATACAGATGTTAAGTGTCACCATCTCGGCCACAAGATTTGTATCCCCAAGAATGGTGTTGCATTCCTGTGGAAGGAAGCTCCAGCTTTTGCTATTTCAGATGCTAAAATTATTTCTTTTTTATTATCATCAGAATTAAAATATCTAAAACTAATTGCTATTTCATACTATCTTTTTGTTTTTTTAACATTACTTGCCCAATATCTTTGTTTGAAAAAAAAAAAATCTAACTCTTGGTTTCCTTGCTGTGGTGATTGCCCAAGAGTCCTTCAACCGGGATTCAGTCTTAAATATTCTCTGATCCCCGTGGAAAAGTCTGATTTAATTAAATACTTAGATGTCAACACTGTGGTATATATGCAACTACTGCCATTCCTTCTGGGCCACTGCTCTCCTCATTTTGCAGTGTCATGGGATTCCATGAAGCAATAATTATTTTCTTTATGTGAAAATTACAAGTGGGAAAAGAGAAAAAATTGGCACATACAGAGGGAGAACAAAAGAAGAAAAATATGCAAAGACTATAGAAGAGAACTAGGACGCGTTGCTACTGTTACCCTTTACTAGAAGACATTTTATAAAGTAGCATGTCCTGCTTCTATTTGATGTTCTTGGTGAAGGAAGGCTGGCTAAAGGTAACTTGACCTTTGTTACTTTTGTTAGGTTTCCCTAATTTCTTCACTTGTAAAACAAACAATCTATTATTCACACAATTAGAGCAGGTATATTGAGAATAAACAAAACAACTAACTAAAAGAAAACTCTATTAAAAAAATGTTCTGCAATTCAGGGTTTCATTTTTACCGTTATCACTACTATTAATAATTTCAGTATTTTTTTAATAGAACACAGATAAATCAAGTGTTAATTTTTTTGTGGACTTTATCAACTAGTTGCTATTTTTCCCCTCAACTCCAGATTACTGTATCCTGGAGTTGAGGGATACAGTATTCAATCAGTTATTGAAGTTAAATGCTATACTTTTGAAATGATTAAACTGCAAGCTATCTTAAATATTGGTGTGCTAAATTTTATTCTGCTGGTTTTTCTTATTTTTCTTCATTATTGTGTTTCGTTATCATGGGGAAAATGGAATATAGACCACCTTTCTGTTTTCAGAGAAAATGTTACCTATAGTGGAGTTCATGTCAACATCCAGCTTATCCCATTTTCTCTAGGGTCTTGATTCGTGCAAAGTCAATGCATCAGCAGTGGCTTGAGCTTTAAGGTTGCTGGATTAGTCTCAGCATACTCTAAATGACAGTGAGGGATTTATTCTTCCCACCTCTTCAAATATTTAGAATGTTACTACACTTGTAGAGATATCTTTGGGTATTTTCCTTAGCCTTCAAGTCTTTCAATACTTCATCTCATCACCTAGGTATCATTTGTTTGTTTTCACTTTGTACACTGTGAAAGAAAATCAGTGCAAAAATGGAAGATACTGCCGGAGCTTTTTGAAGATACTGCTGGAGCTTTGTGAGATTCTTCACAGCTACTCTTTTCTTCTTCATATTCCTCCAATATTATTCCTAAGAAGGCATAGGTACCCATATCCCTGAGTGAGTTTAGTCCTGTTCAACCAATGACCCTGAGTTGTATCCCTATATCTACTGATTGTGATTGATGGTGGAGAGTAACTTGATAATCACAAAAACAATGTCCACTAGATACGTTAGCAATCCCAAGTAACACAGTCCTATAATCTTTCACTTATATTTAGCTTCTCCCCAGTGTAGAGGATGCAAACTTGAATTAAGAACCACAGAATTTTATACTCAGGTAAGACTTTCGGCGTTCTTGGCATCCCACACATCACAGATACTCCCAAGATAGTTGTTGATTGAATGACCCACTGAAAATATCCCAAAATAGTAATATCAGTAAGAATGGTAATACTTGTCTCTGTGACAAGACTTTGGTAAATTTAACTTTCTTAAATGTCCTCTTCAAACTATGTCATGGAAGCAAATATGTATTCAGCCTAATTCTAGAGTCAGATCTTAACTCTGTTTTTAATCTCTTTAACAACAGAAAGCAATGCCATTTACAACAAAATTCTACTGTAATTATCCATAAATGCATAAACATATTGGTAAAAGATTATTTTTTGTTGAGATTTATTCATGTGAACTCATTTTGAATTCATGAGCCTTCTTTTCATTTTTAATGTTTCTAATTTACGGTTTATGCATACAACTCTCCCTCCTTTTCTTTTGAGAACTTTGTTTTATAGTATCTGTTCATTTATCATACCTATTTCACCATAAATTTTCACAAACTGAATCGTTACCAAGAATGTTGATAAAATTTAATCTATGATTTATTTTATTACCTCGAAATGAAATTCAGCTAGGTCTGGTGACCTAAGTCATATAAGGCAGTCACTGCTTTCCTTTCTCTAAAACACAGTAACGTAGAGCTTCTTTCATCAGGATCTAGAGTCAGCCTGCCTGGGATTACATTGCTAGCTATGTGATCTTGAGACATTTAACTTCTTTATGCCTCAGTGTCCTCTCTGGAAAATTTAAGGATAAAATAAATATAAAACCAATAACATTATTACCTTGAAATGTCATAGAATTAAATGTAATAATATATGTAAAACATTCAAAGTAGCCCACATTTGGTGATTAAGCAAGGCAGGACCTGGCCTGAGACACTCAGACAGAAAATTCCTACCCTAGAGATCCTCACCAGGTTACTAAAACCTTGGTGGGCCTGCAACACTGTTTGTCTTCCTTGCCCAGTTCTGCTTCTTCCTCCTTCCTTTTTCAAGTGTTGATCCTTAACAAAAAGTTTGAAACCCAAACACCATCTCAGCATCTGAAGATATCAAACATTCCCATAGAATAACAGTGTGTAACATCAGCTCATCAGAAAGTTCCCAGAGGTTTCCTATAGATATTTCCCTTTATATTCTTCATTGATGCAGTCCATGCTTGAAATGAGTTTGATTTTTATAATCTCCCAATATAATTTTAAGTCAAATTAACATTTTTAGTCTAAGTTTATTAAATTATATTATCTTCTATTTCAAACTTTTGCTTATATGAATCTTCAGTTATTTAAGAAACAATATCAGATTTCCCATTTATAAACTAATACATGTAGGTAAATAACTTGGAAATTTTTTTAAGAGTACAGAAAAAAATTAAAATTACCAATATCATCATCACAATATCAGAATCAATCTATAGGTCTTATTTATAAGTCATTGTTCTCATTTTACATAATGGGAACACAGTCCTGTGGTATGCATTCATGTAAAACAATTTATCGATATGTATTTATGATTAATAATAATTGCAAACATATACCAAGTGTTTATGTGCCAGGTACCATTCTAAGCTCTTTTTTTAACACTATTTTTTTTTTTAATTTTTTGAGATGGGGTCTCACACTGTCGCCAGGCTGGTCTCAAACTCTTAAGTTCAAGCAATCCTCCCATTTCGGCCTTCCAAAGTGCTGAGATTATAGGTGTGAGCCATTGTGCCTGGCCTTAAGTTCTTTTTGTGTCTGTCCCATTTTGTATACATAATCAGCTTATGAGATAACTATTATTACCCCATTTTAGAGATGAGCAAAATGATGTCCTGAAAACTTAAGCAATTTGCCCACAGTCACACAGTATGAGAGTGGCAAAGCTGGGATTCAAACCCAGACATGTGGCTTAAAGTTCATCTTAAGCCTAAAAACTACTGTCTTTTTATTTCTTAAAACATCTAATATTTAACATTCTCAGTGGGAATCTTCTAAAATCTAGGACCTCATAAGCATCTTTACTCTTACGTTATCTGTCATATCTAAAACTCTGTTCGGGGGCACCATGGGTTACGGAGAGGCATAAGACACAGCATCTGTCTTAAAAGTAACCTAATGGGCAAGAAAGATGAGGACAACTGACCTGAATATATGAGAGTAAAATGAGTGCTATCAGGGGCATAGAACAAACTGCAGTTTGAGCAAAAAGGAAAAAAAAAACAGAATTTCATAGAGGGGGATGAAACCTGGGGAATTGTTGGGAGAGAAAATGAGCTTTCAAGAATGGATGATGGAGAAACCTATTAACATACTATAGATTTGCTTTACTTTATTGAACTAAATTGTTCCTGAATAGCTGCAAGAAATTTGAATTTGATAAACTAAGTCACACTTAAAGTACTGGGATACTAACTAAATGAAATCATTTAACCTTAAACAAAGCTAAGAAATCCTTTGTATAGTATAAAATCACACCTTCATGTTTTTTAAATCTACTTAGTAATTCTGTCTTTCCTTATGTTGGAATTTTAAACCAGTGGAACCTGTCTTTTCATGCTTTATATGTAGTATTCTTTGGAATTCATGGTTCTGCTTCTACTTTTTGTTTTGTTTTTCTTGTTTGTTTGTCACAGTTGGTTGTATTTCTCATGTTTCCTTTTCTAAGTCTGTAAATACTGTGTAACAACAAAATATACAAAAAAGGAAATAATCCCAAAATGATTTCAAAATCAAATCTACTTTTCTGTAATTTGATTTATAGGTAATGCCAAAGAAAGAACCAGGAAACACTTTTAATGAACTCTTAATTACTAACAGACAACAATGTATTAGCTAAGTTTGGGCATGGAATTCAGGCAGCTGATTATGTCAGAAATGCAATTGCATGCTTCCATAGGTGAATACGCTCTCTCTTTCCAGACTGGCCCACCCAGTGCCTTCTGGGTCCACATTCGTACTGTTCATATTTCCATGTACTTATGCAGTATTGCCTGAAAGTATTACAAGAAGAAGAATTATCTGGCTAAAAATGCCTACCAGTTTTCCATCTTTAAATTCTAATACTTTAAGAAATATTATTGACATCGTATCTTCACAGGTATTATTTTACTTTGTAAAACCTTGTGTTTGCCTTTTGCATCAGTTTCAAAGGTGAAAGGTGACTCTGGTCCTGAAGACTAGTGTCAGGAGAGTATAGTCCTCACTATCTAGAAAATACCAACCAACTTTGAGTCTGCATCACTCTAAATTGCCTGTGGATAGGCCTGGGACCATCCACAAAGGAAAACTATAGCAATAATCCGATGTCCATGGGTGATCTAGATTTGCTGAAAGAGGCTGGGCTTGAAATTGGCTGATGCTAAGTACTGTAGGTTGTTCATATGCCACCTGATTAGCCAAGGTTATAGGGAGACAGAAAAAATACCACAGAGCAGCAATGTCTACAGAAACACTGGCAGTGGTAGGGGAGGGGACAGCAGTCAGGTTCAATTCATTCACAAACTTAGGAAGTAAAAATCAGGGTAACTGTGGTAGTCACTTGCAGAATATATGCCATGTTCATCTTTCTCTATGATGTGGTAACCAATTACATGTTCTCTATGGGGCAGACTCAGACGTTGTAGAGCCTTAAAGTTTCGAATATTTGGGAAACACATATTATTTAAGGAAAACATTTTTTTAAAAAATTACTAATATGAAATCGCTAGGGTTCTTCCTGAGTGTTAGAAGGAACTCATGCCAAGTAAGGGGTCCTGATACTCAAGTTTCAGTAGCTTCATGGAAAATTTACTTCTGCTATCAAAGGAGTATGAATATGCTTGAGGAAATTCTAAATCCTATTATTCTATTTGGTTTATTCAACAGGATGAATGGCTTCCAGGAAATATAGCAACATTTTTAAAAGGAAGCTGGGGAAAAAAGGGAGTATCTGATGGGAGTCAGAAGGAAGTTTTTATGGGACTTCTTCACAGTGGTATGTGGGAATAAGCTCATACAAATTCACAAGAGCCAGTTAAATTTTCAGGAATTTTGTGTCTCTGCTGATGTCATGTGGGTAGCTTGAAATCTGCCATGATGGGAATATTTACAAAGTGAAAGTTGGCAAATGCTACGTCAGTACACCACTGGGTTTATGAGAACTCAAAATCCATGAAGTTATTAAGTGGAAATTATGACAGAATTTAGGGAAGTCAAACTGTACCTCGAGTCTGTTGTACCAATAGGAATCTCATTCCAGGGAAGGCTTTTCCAGAAACTTGAAGAAAGAAAGGCAAAAGCAGAAGCACACAGATTGGACACTTTCCCCAACCCAGGGCCCATCATCAGTTGGGGCGATGGTCCTTATGGATAAACATCCAGCCTTTTTATACCAGGGTACCTTAACCTTCAGTTCTTCACATGTATGACCACATTTTGGGCCTTCCCATCACCTACTTGCTTTCCATCTCTGAGATCCATATTTCAAACATCCAAGACTCTAAACACAACTTCAATTATTCAATCTTTCAGCAAATACTTATTTTACATACACTATATGCCAAGCAGTGTCATAGATACTAGGAATAATGTGATGAACAATAAATATGCTATAATGGAAAAGACAATGAACAAATAAACTTACAAAATAATTCCTGGTAATAAGTTCTAGAAGAGAAATGTAGAAAGGTGATGTGACATGTAATAATTGTGTTTGGGAAAGAAGGCTACTTTACCTAGGTTGGTTTGAGCAAAGCCTCTCTGAGAGTTCATATTATTATTAAGATATCCTTATATCCTATTAAGATATAAGGAGAACCATACAAACAGAAGAGGAAGGCTATCTAGGCAGAGTGGACAACATGTGCAGAGGCCTTGAATTGGAAGAATCTTGACTTGTTTCCAGAACAAAAATGAATTGGAAGAATCTTGAATTGGAAGAATCTTGACTTGTTTCCAGAACAAAAATGGAAAAAGACTAGTGTAAAGTAGAGAAGCAGAGAAAGAATATAAGGCAATTGTACAAAGTGAGGATAGAGAACCAAGAAGAGCCTTGTAAGGTATGGCTGTTGTTTCTTGGATTTTATTGTAAATACAATGAAAAGGTTTTGTAAGATGTTAAACAGGAGAACAACATAATCTGTTTATGTATCTATTTATTTTTGAGACAGAGTCTCGCTCTGTCACCCAGGCCAGAGTGCAGTAGTGCCATCACGGCTCACTGCAGCCTGGACCTCCCAGGCTCAAGCAATTTTTCCACCTCAGCTGCCCAAGTAGCTGGGACTACAGGCATGTGCCACTATGCCTGGCTAATATTTTTGTATTTTTTGTACAAATGAAGTTTGTACAAAATTCCTTGGGCTCAAGCAAGCCTCCCAAAGTGTTGGAATTACAGGCATGAGCCTCTGTTCTTGGCCTGTTTTTTATTTTTAAATTATTAATCCATCTGCTATGTGATAGTAGCATTAAAGAGTGATACAAGTAGAATCAGGAAACCAATGAGAAGGACTTTATAAGTGTCCAGGAAGATAGGAAGATGTCTGGAACCATGGTGCAGGTGATGAAGATGGGCAGAGATAAGTGGATAGATGAGAGATATTTTAGAAGTATAACTAAGAAGAGTTGCTTTTTTTTTTTTCTTTTTTTAAGACAAGGTCTCACTCTGTCACCCAGGCTAGAGTGCAGTGGCACGATCTCAACCCACCACAGCCTCTGCCTCCCAGGTTTCCTGCCTCAGCCACCCAGTAGCTGGGATTACAGGTGCGTGCCACCATGCCCAGGTAATTTTTGTATTTTTTAGTAGAGACAGGGTTTTGCCATATTGGCCAGGCTGGTTTTGAACTCCTGACCTCAAGTGATCCACTTGCCTAGGCCTCCCAAAGTGTTGGAATTACAGGTGTGAGCCACTGCGCTAGGCCAACAGTTGTTTTTGAATTGAGGATTGAATATAAAACACAGGATTAAAAAATGGTTCTTCAGGCCGGATGCCATAGCTCATGCTTGTAATCCCAGTGCACTGGGAGGCTAAGGCAGGAGAATCACTTGAGGCCAGGGGTTTGACACCAGCCTGGGAAACACAGGGAGGACCTTTTCTCTGCAAAAAATAAAAATAAAAAAATTAGCTGGGCATAGTGGTATGTGCCTGTAGTCCCCAGTACTTCAGAGGCTGAAGTAAGAGGACTGCTTCAGCCTAGGAGGTCGAGGCTACAGTGTGCTGTGATCACATCACTGCGCTCCAGCCTGGGCAACAGGGCAAAACCCTGCCTCAAACAAACAAAACCAAATAAACAAAAGAATGTATATAAAGAAAGCAGGTAGAAATCAAAGTGTCCGTAAGCTTTTATGCCATTAGGTCTGAAGTAGATACTGAATTGGTCCTAGAGCCAAAGGTAGTTCACAATACTTCCCGCAAAATCCCACTTCAAGACAACCCATCCAAGAGATAGTCTAATTTGGCCATCTGACTGCTACCCACACATCTACAAGGGGAAATTTTACTCTTTGTGCTTACTGGGCTCCAGGAGTGGGGACAGCATGTGATGGGTCTCCTGATTTGTCTCTAGAACGCGCGCTAATAAGCATACATAAACTTCCATATGACAGCATGGAAGCAGGAAGAGAGCAGAATGCATCTTGCCTAATAAAATAAACTCTATCTAAGGCTCTGTCTGCTCATGATCAGATAAAACAATTCCCATTTCATAGGAAAGAGTGAGCAAGTGAGAAGGGAGGCTACAAGTGTCATTCTCATGGCCATCTCCTAATGGAAACATGGAAGTGATTGTCTCTACACATAGAGATTTTGGATTTCTTTAGTTCCTTAATTGTATATTATTTGACTATATTATGATAAACATGTACTTTTACAAAAACGGTAACGTGCATGTGTCTCTTGTATCTTGTCTTTTAAAACTTTTTCACGTATTCCTTTTGCTTAGAATGTCTGTTATGCCCCTATCACACCTAGTTGCTATAAAACACAAATATTTATTATTCAAAGCCTATTTGAACTATCGGCTACTCTTAAAATTATCCCCATCTCTCCCCTGAACAATAATTACTGTACTGACCATATACTTTAATTACCCGTTTTCTTGTTTCTCTTCCACCTAAAAGAGACTGTCAGCTTCCTGGGTTCCCTAAGACCACAAATAATGCCAGTACATAGTAGCTGCTAAATATATATATATATACATATACATATATATACACACACACACACATATATACACAAACACATATACACGTGTGTGTGTGTCTGTGTGTATCTGACATGGAGTCTTGCTCTGTTGCCCAGGCTGGAGTGCAGTGGTGCGATCTCAGCTCACTGCAACCTCCACCTCCTGGGTTCAAGCGATTCTCCTACCTCAGGTTCCTGAGTAGCTGGGATTACAGGTGCACGCCACCACACCTGGCTAATTTTTATATTTTTAGTAGAGATGGGATTTCACCATGTTGGCCAGGCTGGTCTCAAACTCCTGACCTCAGGTGATCCACCTGCCTCGGCCTCCCAAAGTGCTGGGATTACAGGCATGAGCTACTGCTGCCAGCAATATATTTTTATTGAATTGAATTCAATATTATTTCTAGCTGGCTGTCACTGGATTGGTGGGCAATGATACTGGCTACACTGTGGACTCAGGATTCTCATCCTAATCCCACAGAATTTTGGCCTGGGTTGCAATGATTAATATCGCATATTAATGGCTTTCCTCTCATTTTAACTTGAAGAAAGGTGGCATCCTAAACATTTCTGAGAACTAGCAGATGGCTATTGGCTCAGAACTTAACACCTGATGAAACTTTGCCACTACTTTTTCTTCATAGTCTTTGTCTATTAAACAAAGCTTCTTTCAAGACAGAACTCTCTGCTCTGAAAGTTCAGGGGCAATTGGCATTGCCCTCTTTTAATTAGAGCACTGCAGTACATTTTTTTCTACACTAAAAATAAAAAAAAAAAAAATCACCCACAAGGCTGAGAGTTTAAAAACACCTTTTAAATATATCAGTAAAATTTTATTTGTCCACTAAAATAAGAAAATGAAAAAACAGAAAGAAACACTTGCTGTAAAGCAACTGCAGGTTGGTTTCCATTTCTGGTAGAAGAACATGTTTTTGAGGAGCAGTATGCCCTGTGATTAGGAGCCCAGACACTGAGCCAACTTGTTCAGTAGGAAGTCTGGCTCCCCCAGCTTCTCTTTGCTGACGCTAAGCAAGACATTTGATCCCTCTGAGCCTCAGTTTCCTAGTTTATAAGAAAAACCTATCTCATAGCATTATGGTGGGATTAAATATTAAGTATTTTAAAGAGTAATTGGAAATAGTAAAGTTAGGTAAGGGATCAGTAGAAAGTTATCACTATCTAAGCACTAACTATTATTAATATTCTTACCTAGAAAATGTGATTGATATAAAAATGTGGTTTTAAAGAATAGGTTTAAAAATCACACTTAAATATGTCCATAAGACCCATTTTGAACTCCTTGTTTTTTCTCTGATTAAAATGAAAAAGAGATTTAACAAAATTTAATAACAAAATGTGCTTGTATGCAAATGGTTCTTGTCTCTGCTCTTCTTGGGGAATTTGCTGTGTCGTTAATATCTCGCTTTGTTTTCAATCATTTGCTGAAAGTTTCCTGCTGTTAGATTCAGGACATAAGAACTACCTTAAAAGTCTTAAGAATCAATGAATAGTCATACCTATGTGTTCAAATGAGATTGTTCAGCCATTTAAAATTTAGTAAGGGAAAAAGTGCAGCTAATATGTCCTTAGGGATTATTTTCAACTAGTCATAAATAATCACTCTGTCTAAATTACTTACCATACACTTACACTGTTCCTAAGTTCTCTCCCTTTCCCTTCTATATCATGACTCCATGGGGCCTTGTGCATCACAGAACATATGGAAGAAGACTGAAAAGTGGTCTTTGCTTTTTCACCTCCCAGTTATATCTTGAAATCCCCCCAACCAGGTTTGTGTTGTCATTACACAACCAAACTGCTCTTGTCTTGTCAAAGTCCCAGCAACCTCCACCTCACAACACCCAGTCACCAGTTCATTGTCTGCACCTTGCTTAATCTGTCTGAGTCATCCACAGTATCAGACACCGCTGTCTCTCCTTGGTGAAGCACCTTTCATCTCTTGGCTTTCAGGACACCACATTGTTCTGGTTTTCTCCCTTTTTCAATGGCTTCCCCTTCTGAGTCTTCTTTTCTGGTTCCTCTAACTCTGAGAAACTACATGTCAGTGATCTTCCAGGGTATAGTCCTTGGCCTTCTGTCTCTTCTGGCTTTACTCTCTCCCTAAGCAATTTCATCTCTTCTAATGGGTATAAATGTCAGCAATATGCCAGTGATTTCCAAATCTGTTTTTTTAAGCTGTAATAGTTTTAAAACAAGTCCATAAATGTTTTGACACACCTCTTACCAAAGGTGGAGTCTGATTCCCCTCCCTTTGAATAGGGGCCAGGCTTAGTAATTGACTTACTTCTAGTAAGTAGAAAGAAGCAAAAGTGACGCTGTGGGACTCCTGAGGCTAGACTGGGAAAGGTAATACAGCTTCACCCTGGTTCTGTCTCTCTTGGCATGTGCACCCTTGGAACACAACCATGTATGAGGAAACCAGGCAGCCACATGGACAGGCCATGTGTGGGAGTGCTGGCCCAGCCCCAGCAGATGGCTGATGGCCATCCCCAACCACCAGACAAGTGAGTAAGACAGGCTGCAGATCATTCCAGCTTCCAGCCTTCAAGTTGCCCCAGCTGATGCCAAATGAAGCAGAAACACGTCCCCATTAAGCCCTACTCAAATTACAGGTTTGCAAGAAAAATAAATGTTGCTGTCATTTTAAGCCACTAAGCTTCATTGGAGCGGGAGTGTTATGTGGCAGTAGGTAACCAGAGCACTATCTGGAAACTTCCTCTGTACTCCAGAACCTGCTCACTCACATCCCCATTTCAATCTATTATAGGAAATCCAACTTTATATGGCAAAAAAAGAACTCATAATTTCCCCCACAAAACTAACTCCTCCCCGTCTTCCCTAGCTTAGTCCAAGACACCACTTCATTGCTCAGGCAAAAACCTGGAAAATCATCCCTGAATAAAGCCTTTTCCTCACACTACACATCCAATCTATCAGCAAATATTGCAGTAACTACCATCAAAATATACCCCTAAGATGGCCATTTCTAAGTACCTCCCCATCACCTCTTGTAATCATCATCACCATCATCTCTTGTAATGTCTAAACTGGTACGATAGCCTTCTAAAGTGCTTACCACGTTCACCATGCTACAGTCTATTCACCGGTCAAGCATCCCCCGTGCACATGTGAATGGCTTCCACAACACTTAGGGTAATGTACAGGCCTTACTGTGGCTGACAAAGTCCCAGATGAACGGGCCTTTGCCTTCTCCTCCAATTTTATCTCCTACCACTTGCTCACTTGATTCTCTCACATTAGGTTTTTGCATTTTCAAGAGCAGATTTTGCTCATTCCTGTCCCTGACTGGCTGGGTTTTGTCTGTCTGGAAGACTCTTTCCCTCAAATATTACTCAACTGGGACACTCAGGTCTCTGCTCACACATCACTTTCTCAAAGAGGCCTTCCTCTATATGTTAAGTTCTCCATCAGCCCCTATTACTCTCTATCCCTTTGTTATTTTTTATCCTTAAAGCACTTTATAGTATCTGAAATCATATTGATTTGCTTACTGCTTGCTCTCTTCCAGATGAGATGTTAGGTTCCTTCCCACAGGGACTTTCCCTGTCCTTTATGTTTCGGTAGTCTACAGTTGCCAGAGGAGCGCACCACAGCTGTCAGCAGTCTAGATGTATCTGATAAATGGACTTTATTCAATAAAGGAATTGTTCAATCAATTAATACCTACTGCTTCATTGAATTAGTTTGCGTTAAAAATCTGTGAAGCATTTTCTTGATACTCAAGCTATTTCCATGGATGAGAAGTTGTCCTCCTTACAATGAGGCCTTCTTGAATAAATTGGCATGACTCTGGACTATTTTGAGATATTATGACTGTAATGTTACATGAAAGCCTTGGATATAATAACAATAGGAACATTAAAATATGTAATGCAGTACCAATACCATACTTTATTTTAGCCTAGGGGTTATTTATAAATTCATATGTAAAGTTTTATTGCCTGATCACACATAGTTTTCTGGTTTATTTTGTATTTTTTGTTTGTTTTGTGGTTTAGATATTGTCAAGAACTGTGAAAGGTCTGAGATTTTACCCTACTTGCAAACTACAAATTAGGTTGCCATAGATGTAGATGTGCTGGCGAAAGAAATGAGACCTGAGTGAGAGAAAAGACAGTTTATTGCTCACAGCAGTAGCAGTAGTCAAGATATCAGCATTTTATTTCACTAATTTCTTTACTCCTAATTCCCAGAGAGTGACAAAGCAAAGGCTGTAACACATGCACATGCAGTGGATTGTATTACAGAAGAGAAATCTCAAGTTTAGGAAACCTCAGTCCTTTATAATGGACTGCAAGCAAATCTGCTTAATCTTGTCTCAGAGAGAGACATTATCTTTATTAAACTGCACAAAAAACAAAACTGCCCTTTTCTCCAAAGGCAGACATTATCTGTCTTCTAAAGCTGTTTGCTTTAGCAACACCTTTGAAAGGATAGTCTGGAAAAAAAGCTGTCAGTGCCACTGCTTATAAAAACATGCAAAAATGCAAAAGACTCAAGAAAAATTGTCTCTTATTATGGACTGAAAAATGTCCTCTCAAAATTCTTGTTGAAGCCTTAACCCCTGATGTGGAGGTATTTGAAGACTGCAGCTCTTGGGAGGTAATTAGATTTTAATGGGGTTATGAGGATGGGCCCCTCATAATGGGATTAGTGCCCTTATAAAGAGAGAGTGAACCTCTCTCACTCTCTTCCCATCTATGTACAAAGAAGAGGTTATGTGAGCACCCTACAAGATGGCAGTTGCCTAAAAGCTAAGAGAAAAAGCCTCAGAATGAAACCTACCCTACTGTATTAATCTTGGACTTTCCAGACCCCAGAACTGGGAAATAAATCTCTACTGTTTAAACTACTCAGTCTGCGGTATTTTGTTACGGCAGCCCAAGCTGACTAAAACATCTCCCAACTGACATTCCCCTTGCATTGCCTTTTATTTTTTCTAAAGAAAGATTTTTTGGCCAGGCGCAACACCTGTAATCCCAGAATTTTGGGAAGCCGAGGCAGGAGGATCACTTGACCCCAAGAGTTTGAGACCAGTCTGTCCAACATAGTGAGACCCTGTCTTGTCTCTACCAAAAAAATAAATAAAACTTAGCCAAGCATGTTGACATGCTCCTGTGGTCTCAGCTACTTGGATGCTGAGGTGGAAAGATAACTGGAGCCCAGGAGGTCAAGACTGCAGTGAGCAATGATTCTACCACCGCACTCCAGCCTGGATAACAAAGTGAGACCCTGTCTCAAAAATAAAAATAAAAATAAAGAAAGGTGTTTAAAAATATATAGCTAGCTAATAAAAATATTTTGGCAGAGAACTGTCAGAATAAAAAGTGCCATTACTGCAGAAAATTAAAGCAAGACATCAAATGAAGTGATATCTCACTTTTAATTGACCGGATACTTTGTATTTTATTTATTTATTTTTAAACAAATTTATTCTTGTTAAATATCAAGAAATCTGCAAATCATATAAATCTGGTACAATGACTTATTGATGCATTAGAGACACAATCCTGTTGTTTTTCTGCTCTGCCTACCTTAGTGTTTTGGTAACTTATGGTTAAAAGCAATGATCCAGCCACAGATTTTGGTGTTGGGCAACAGAACTGAATCAGGAGTTAAAACATTGATGCCACTATTTGGTGTTAATGTCAATTTCGCCAAGCCATCTTATCTCTTTGAGCTTCCAGGTGCTGCGCTGTAAAATGACAGTAATGGTAATATTCACGAGTTATCATGAGAACCACAAAGGTGAATGTGAGTGTTGGCAAACAATGGATTTGAATAGTGAGCAGAATTGATTTCTTCACAGCATATTTATCATCTAAATTGTAAAGGAACACACAATTTAAAAATATTGCAAGGTGATGATTGTTATGTGACCAAGGAGAAACCACACATCTACAGAGTGCATAGCTGTCATTTATATATTCTCAGTTTTCAGGTTTGTGCACTGAAGTCACATTAAAGTATTTGCTACTCCAGAGAAGTGCCTTTAAATGTGAACTTCTAGGACTCTACACACACTGCCTCTCCTATTGACAATGACTTATCCCTTCAATCTACACCTGGTAATCATTCTTCAAAGACAGGTTAAGTATTGTCTCTGGAATCTCTTTCCCAGGCTTCTTGGGCCAACTGGGCTTTTCCATTGTAGTTATTATTATAATGTATCATCTTAACTTGCAGTTGAATCTATTTATCCTACTGAGTAGTGAACACTTTGATGATTAGGGATCTTATTTGATTTACCTTAGAATTCTCAATATGTAGAATTATCTAGCACTTACTGGTGTTTAAATTACACTTGCTGAAAGAAAGGGTAGAGTTTGGGGATAGGAAGATGGGGAAGAAAGAAGGAAGGGGAATTCTTCAAAATTTAAAGCCCTTTTTGAGATGTATTTATTATGCCATTATGAAAAAGAGCATGGACTCTGAAGCTAGAGGACTGAGTTGACTTCCAGCTCCATTCCCTATTAGCTGTAAACTCTGAACATATTCCTTATCTTTACTATGCCTCATATTCTTCATCTCTAAAATAAATATATTACCAGCCATTTCATAGTTTTTGTGAGGATTAAATGAATCAATATATATACAAACAACCTAGAATTTTGCGTACACTGCAGCGACCACTCAGTAAGCATTAGCCATTGTTATTAATATTGATGCACTTCCCTCTAATACCACTACCAAATAATATGTGATGACTAATCATAACTTCAGAGATTAATGATGTGTCAGTTGACATCTTTGAGGTATTTCTTGTTAAAGGTCATTTTGATCAGGTGGTCAGCCAGTTCTCATTAAGGGATGTTTGTAAAGAATATGACCATACATTTTGGGAAAGCTGTCCTTTGTTTGTAATTTAATTGTGCCCATCACTGTAGAGGATTCTCCACATTTATTTTTATTTTTGCTATGTGTTATAATACTTTTCTTGGAAAATATAACCTGCTGACGTTGAGAAAACTAAAACTCCTTATCCTTCACTGAGCTTTCCTGGAAATCGCTGTAATTTTGGAACTAATGCAAAATTCTTGGTCAGATGTTTGGTTTGACCCAATCCCTCTGATAGGAAACAAGTAAGATTTAGTGAAATTTCCAGGACTTTATCAAATCCAAAAGAATGCAGTTTATATTGTCCAGTATATCCTCCTTTCTTTACAGATGCAGAAGGCCTGTGCAGAGGCACAAAGTCTAAGACCACTTTGCCTTTTGACAAAGGCCACTTCTGGAATATAGGTTTTTCATTTCCGAGGTGCTCTCAAGCTCACAGTATGAAATGAAAATGGTCAGTTATTGATGCTACATTTTATACTGCCACTTTATTATTAAACATTTTCTCTTTCTGCTTCAGGTAAAATATTTTGTACACTGAATAAAAAGTTAAATTTTCAATATTATATAAGATGAAAACATGGTAGGAAATTTAAAAAATAGACATCACACTGAATGATTGATTTTATGATTTTGATTCTTGTCTAGTTTTTCCTAGGCATGGATAATTGAAAAAAATACATATATTTATTAACTAGATTGTTTTAGATCTTAGACTAATGCTTTGTAATACTTAAGTACTGTTTTAAGCAATCATGCTACTTACTAACACCTGCAGCCTTGATTTCATATCAGGAACCTGTATCATTTTATTTTAAATAGACCCCAATGTTCATCTTCTAATTGGTCTGGCATTGACCTGTGATGGTGCCATAAGTCTGTCATCCCCTGATGGATATCCCAGGCTGTTCCCATTCCACGTGGGGGCCCTACGGGGAAGGTAAAACGTGCTCCGTGACACTGTGACATTGTCTGGAGAAGGATGTTAATTCTTTACGATCATTCCCACGGAGAAATCTGACCCCTGTTCATCACAAACAGGAACTTTTTTTTTTTTTTTTAACCGGAAGGTAGAGTGAGAGAGGAAACATTGTTGATTTCTGGGAGAAGTGGTATTGGAAATCCAGTTTGTTGGCTCTTGGAACAATTATGGGAAGCCCCACAGAGCATGTCCTTTTTACTAGAATAATAGAAAGCACTTCCACTCCTGTGTGGAAACAGCAGTTCAAAGACAGGACAGAGTCCCTAAGCTCTGGCAGCTTTTAAATAGTGTGTGTGTGTGTGTGTGTGTGTGTGTGTGTGTGTGTGTGTGTGTGTGTGTTTCCTTTTCCCTCACTGGTAAACTGAAAGAGGACTCTCCTTGTAGGCAAACTGTGCAATATGGATTTCATTTATAAACCACCATGCTAGTTGCCTTTAGAAATTTAAAAAACTAGACTATCTGGTCCCATTTGTGTATTCAATAAATATGCAGTAACCACTTCCTCCACAATGCAGACATAATATTATAAGAAATAAGACAATTTTGCCTGCCTTCAAGAAATGTATAGTCTAGACAAACACATGAATTGAAAAGCACATCGTTCTGGAGAGCGGATAGGAAATCAAATTGCAATGAATGAGCAATCTGTCTTCTGGTATTTATGTAAGAGGAATTCTCACTAAGCTCTCCGGGGTCCATACACCAAGATGTTCAGCTCAGCCCTTTTGAAGTCAGCAATAAGTTGCAGGCAATATAGGTCTCAGTGTGGAAGCACACTGTGGGATGCTTTGCCACAGTTAGAAGCAAAGAACTAGATGTAACAAAATAACAGATATACCTTTAAAACACATAGCGCTGAGCAAGCTTAAAAGGAAGAAACAAAATAATCTATAACAATACCATACATATAAATTAAAATACATTCACACAAAGCAATGATGCCCATTTAGCAAACAAATTAAAGGATACATGGAAACACGTTAAAATGACAGCCTATGATGTGGAGGGACGTGGGAGTACAGACTGTTGAAAAAATGAATTAGATAGATAGATAGATAGATAGATAGATAGATAGATAGATAGATAGATAAATAAAATGTGTGTGGGGTCTTTGTAGACCACTGATGATTATGTGACACGAACTAATTGTGAATAACTCAATCGTCAACCAAAGTCCTAAAATGGATAAGAAGAGCAAAAACTAATTATGGTGCAAAGCAGTAAGTGTGCCTAGAATGCAAAGTTATTGCAGTCAGAGTTCATAAAATCAGCCATGGGGGATTCAGCAAAATGTCCTAGGGGAGGTAACATCAGAAAGAGTCTTAGACACTTAATCTAATAGCTGTAGCTATTTCTCCCACCACGTCCTTGCTGATCCTTGCCTTTGAATAAATTCAACTTTATTCCTAGTAAATTAATCCCTACTAATTTAAGAAGCCCTTTCTTTCAATAATATTGATGATGACTCATTTTATTCTTTACAAATTAAATGGGAAGGGTACTATTGCAAACTGGGAACCAAAAGTTCAAAGAGTAGCTATCTTTATCTTTTTATCTGGATTTATTGTATTGAGATAGAGCACACACTATTCTTAGAGACCAATCTCCTTGATTGTGGCAGCCTCTGTCTCACTCAGGGGTTCTGAGGTACAAACCTGTGCTGCATGCTGATCATCCTATTATGATTTGGTGCCCTAGGGCCAGTACATAGGCTCTTGCACTGTTTTGTTTTTGTTTGTTTGCTTGTAAGATACGACCTTTCATTTCCCTTCCAACAATCAGGTCCCTGGCTTACTCCACCGTGGTCTAGTCAAGTGAGACCCACCACTTGATTCCTTTGTATCTCTGGGATTGTGTACTACCTGGTTCTGGCCCAGAGTTTTTAGGAAATAGAATCATGTCCTGTGCCTAGCCAAGCAGCAAAGCTTCCTACCTGATGCCAACAGTTTATCATGAAAAGATTAACCTATTCTGCCTTGCTAAACCTCTCTTTTCCCCTCTCACCTTTCAACATTGGTCAATGGACAATTTCTTTCTCCCTAGTCTCCTTGTGCCTACTCTGTCTGACGGTCTGGCCTTTTCCCTGTACTGTAAGGCCAGGATGCCCCCAGAATGTAACTGATGCAGGCTTGTGGGAGAGGCTAAGTGCAAGTGATTATGCTAGGAGCTCTGAAGCCAGGCTCCCTAGGTTCAAATTCAGATGTTCAACTAACTCATTGCAGAGGAATAAGTGAGTTATTTAATTTGCATGCCTATGGGATGGGAAGAGGAATATAATATATTGGGGTTCAAGTTTTGTATAAGCATTAAAATAATTAAAATGTGCAAAGTCCTTATACCAATATCTGGCATGAAATAAGTGCTCTGGAAATGTTATCCATTCTGTTATTACCTACAAGTTTTATCCTCCCTGAGATGGCTATCTCATTGTTAACAGCTTCAGTTCTGGGCCTGGGAACCAACAGGAAAAAAAAAATTGATGACATCTCTTTTGTTTTAACTAAAAAGAATTGTTTTGGGCAGAATGAAATGTAGTATAGTGGGAAGAGCCCAGTATATGATTCCAAATGACCTAGGTCAAAGTCACAGCTGTCCCTTCCTCGCTGTGTGATGCTGAGGAAGTTTATCTGTCTTGGCCCGTTTCCCTGTTTATGGAATGGAAATAATAATGACCCCTACCTCCCAGGATAGTTGTGTGGATTCAGCAAGGTAAAGGTTGCGAAAGCCCTTTCATAAATGGTATTATTCTAGCATCTGTTATGTTGCCATTGTTATCTTTCACTTGTTTTATACCTCTAGAAACTATGTCATAATGCTTCCTGCAGAGTCAATGAAAGATAACCCCAGTTCAATATTCTAGGAACAAACTTGATCTATTATGATGGATAAGTTTCACAATTTGAATTAGCTGGCCCAATTCATTATGAGAAAAAAAAAATCAGTGTGAAAAGCTAAATACATCACTAATACATTATCTTTTAAATGTAAAAAACAGGCACCACATAGCCCACAAACACAAATTTCATTTTCTCTTTCCATTTCTCACTTTCAGTTTTTTCTTCATCAGTTAGCAGAATCAAGAGGACAGAGCAACTCAGAAAAACCAAGACGTTCTTGGAATATGTGTTGACTACATCCTTTAATGATTATAATCATCTTGGGGAGCAGGAGACATAGTATTATATCTTTTTGTAGATAAGAAACAGGAGAGTAGGGAATTTTCATCAAGATTATCTGGCTAATGGCCAGGCGCGTTGGCTCACGCCTGTAATCCCAGCACTTTGGGAGGCCGAGGTGGGCAGATCACAAGGTCAGGAGTTCAAGACCAACCTGACCAACATGGTAAAACCCCGTCTCTACTAAAAATACAAAAATTAGCCGGGTGTGGTGGCGTGCACCCGTAATCCCAGCTACTTGGGAGGCTGGGGCAGGAGAATCGCTTGAACCCAGGAGCCGGAGGCTGCAGTGAGCCGAGATCATGCCATTACACTCCAGCCTGGGTGACAGAATGAGACTTTGTCTCAAAAAAAAAAAAAGATTATCGGGCTAATTAGTGTTGAATTGAAGGTTAGAATATAGGTGGTGGGACTCTTACCCCATACTAAGAAGCAGCTCAAGATTTTTTTCTTCATAAAAATTGAGAAGAATGTATATGTATTATCCCAGATCTTTGCAATGCAATAAATAGAACACAGTCAGTGAATGTGTTTGTGTTATTTGCAGGGGAGGGGATAAAATTTTAGAGGAAGGAAAATTTTATGTAAATACCTGACCAACCTGACCAGATACAGTCTTCATCCCCCTGTAATGGAATATATTGCAATGCATTCAAGCATTTTTCCAAGTTCACTAAAATACCTTCCCCAGCTAGATCTATACCTGGAATGAATACCTTTGTCCTCTCATGCCCTGAGTCATTTTTCTCAGATGAACCTCTGAAACTTAATCAATACGGGGTAGCAGAAATGAGAATCATGACAGTTCTTTAATATGAGTCATCCATGAATGAGCCATAGTATAATGCGAACAGCCCAGAATCTGATTCCAAATGACCTAGGTTAAAGACATAAGCACTGTGTTCATTCATCTATTTAATGCCCTTTTAGTATGAGTTTCATGTATTTCCTGAGATGCTCCCATTAGAGTCTAATGAGAGAGAGGCTTTCAAGCAGCAGGACTGTTTAGAACAGTCAGGAAAAGCAGCCTGAATAAAATAAGACTATGTAAGAACCCCAAGTGTAGATGGCAACTTTCAAGAGGCCATAATAGCTGAAAGGAAAGAGTATAGTTATTATTACAGCCCTTTTTATTTCCTAACACAACCCACTAAAGATATACTCCCTTTACCTTCCTCCTGCCATTAACTCCTCAAAGTCTAAGTGGATTATTTCCTGGGGGGAAAAAGATACTTTAACAATTGCAGATTTTATTTCTAAATAAATTATTTTTAATATCAAAATGTTACTAACTTGTCTTTATCAAACCTAAGTATTTTTATGTATGTGGCAAACTTTAATTTCCAAATGCTAAATAATACCTATAAGTTCTGTGCCTGCTCTCATTCTTTTTTATAGAAATGAAATTTAAAAATTGCACATGTAGATAAATATTCTTTTGTCAGTCTATGAAGTATTGAGTCATCAAAGACCCATAACTGTATTACAGATTCAATTATCAAACTATGTTTCTCTTATCAATTTACTGAATAATGTATTGATCCAACACATTCTTGTTCAAAGTTTTGTCTAACCTTTATGTTAGTTTCCCTTTTATACATAGAGTTTTTAAGCAACCAAACTATTAAAGGTTGATTCGCTCTGTACCTGAATATTCATATACAAGAGCAATGGCAAATGATAGTTTCTTACGTTAAAAAAAAAAAAACTCATCAAGGACTCTAGAGCCAGGCCATTAGGATTCAAAGTCAGACTCTGACACTTACTAGCTATGTCACTTTGGTTAAGCTTCCGAAACTGCACCTCAATTTCCATAATTATAAACTGAGGGTAATAATAATACTATCTTATTATTATACAGAACAAATAAGCCAATATTTGGAAACCATTTTGAAAAATTCTTGACACATTCCAAGTCTTATAAGTCCTAAATAACATACATATAAATAAATTATATACACATGTATGAATATATATAACTCATTTTTATGTATGTATGCAAATATATGAATAAAGAAGACATCAAGTTTCTCAAAATGTCCCTCTGAAGTTCAAACATTCATAAACCTACAGATTTATAATTCTTAGTCTCTTTTGAAATCTGATCTTTCAAAAACTAATTACATAATACATTGAAAATTCCTGTTTGTTCGTATTTATTGTTAAACATTGAAATTTCAATTTAATTTTTACTACTAAAATATAAAACGAGTGTAAATATTATCCTTAAGAAAACTTGTATTAGACAAAACCTATATCAAAGAAGACAACTTTTAGCTAAGTTTTTAAAAAATTAGTGAAGTAACCATTGTCAATGTGGCTTAATATACAAAATATTGAAATGAGTTCCTCCAAGTTTCATATCTTTTTTATGGTACCTGTTGATCCAATGTGAAGCTAATTTCAGGTTTTCTCTCACCTTCTAAATCTATTCAGTCATTGACACTTATTGACCTTGCATCTGAAAGGTTTGAACCTATCACTTGTCCTCTAGTTCTTCTGACACTGTCGTAGTTGAGATTCTGCTCATTTCTCACATGAACTATCTCTATAACATATTCCCTCTAATCCATGCTCCATATGCTCACAATTCACCTTTTTGATACGCTGATCATGTTATTTAAAAAATTTCAATGTCTCTAAAGTACAAAATTTGAAAGCGGCTGCATAGTGAACAAAGTCACCCAAAAGCCAGCTCTAACTTACCTTTTCCTCATCGTTTTATGCCACTTTCTTCTCCTTCACGTCCCTCTCCAACCCATTAGTAGATGAAACTTGTGACCATTCCTTGAATGAGCTATGCAGCTTTTAATACCTCCATAGCTTTCATTCATGTTATTTCTTCTGTTTTTGATGCCCTCAATTTCTGATGTCTTCTTACTCTCAGTTTAGAAGATTCTCGGTTGAACTAAGCCTTTAGAGATAACTGTTTCTCTAAAGACTTCCCTTAAATCCCTTCTCAATTCCCATACCACTTTTCACATGGATTTATTATAAAAATTTATACTGTATAATTGATCGTTTATATAGGTGTGTGTGTGTGTGTGTGTGTGTGTGTGTGTGTATATATATAAAATCTTATATATATATAATCTTCCCCCACTCCTTGTAAGTTTGCAGAGCCAGGCATATCATAAAAATATTGTAACCCTAGGGCTCATACTGGCCTGGGTTGTGGTAGAAGTTTAGTCAGCATGTATGTGTGTGTGCTTGTGTGTCTCTGTGTGTTTTAATAAAGAAAATGCCACTTTTAGCTCTGAAGCTAACTGGCTGAATCTCTCTAGATGAGTCTATTAGTTTATCTTTATTCTTTAAAATGATTATGTAGGAGATTATGTAGGAGATTATGTAGATTATGTAGGAGGCCCCTTTCTGACTCTAGAATTTTATAGTTTTATAAAAGTAAAATAAAAAAATTGTAAACATACTTATAATAAAAATACTCTCTCAGGTTCAAAAGTGCAAATGTCCTTAAATACAGATAATCAAGTATTAACATCTTTCTAGCCACTTACCTAACCAAGCTAACACTAAGTGGAGATCTCTCCTTCATTATACTTAAAAATTTTTTTGAAACCCTTTCATGAACTTATTAATAAATGTGCTAAAAGGAAGGAAAAGAAGGACTATCCTGGAAAGAGGAGAGACTGAGAGCATGGAGATCAACTCTAGTACCACTTTAAATTTTCATTTGTAGGATGATTGGAGTTTTATTAGGGTACAAGTTGCACTTTGAAGGGGCCTTCTAGGGATATTAGGCTTTAAAATTTTACAGAAGGCAAACATTAATTAAACGGGATATCAGGAAAACTGATTACTAAAACACCTAGGCTTTGCAACTTACTTCTTTCTAAAGAGGCTACAGATAAAAAAAAAATGCATAACTTTTTTGTTTGTCTTAAACTAAAGATAGAAAATAAATTGTAAGGAGTTATAAATGTCCCCGATAAGACTCAGTGAAGTTTCCATTAGATTTTCCAAGATAGGATTGTTAAGATAAGATTCATAATAACAACAACAAAAAGATTTTTGCCAAACCACAATGACATTTTAGATGCAGAACTTTTTTAAAATCTTATTTTTTAATCAGATCCAAAAAATTATAAATGATAGTTCAATTCGACACAGTATTGTTAGCTATTATTGTTATCCTCAACCAAATATAACATAGCCTAATGCTGTGAAACAAAGCTAAGTTTAAGGGCATTTCTTTATATTCTTTTCTTATCTTCAAAGCATTACACTAATTACACTGAAGAATACGAAAAAACTGGAGACAAGGTCTTTGACTGTCCAAGGAAGACAAGAGTAACACACAGACAACAAATAGACAGCATAAGCAAGGCCAAAATAACATACCTCCATAACATACTCCATAAGTGCCAGGGAATACAAAGCTAAGAGCTGATCTCATAGAAGAGAATTTGGTTTGGAAGGCATCTAGGAGCCGCTAGCAAGGTCTTAGAGGAAGGAAACCTCGGGTCATGCAGCTGAGGAATGAGGGCCTTCCAGGCAGAACAGCAACCTTAGCAAAACATATCCCAAAGTAGTGTTGGACCAGATGTGTGCAGAAGCTGGGAGTAGCTTGATTCAAGTGAAGAGACTCTGAGATGTGACTTGGAAAGAGAGAACTGGCAGAGATTCACTTGGAAACATCCTTGGATAATATTAACATTTAGCCCTAGCAGGGAAGGAGAGCCAGAGTTGATACTAAACTTCTTATTTCTGCACTCCCATAATCGGAAATGTATTATGAGTTCCCTAGGGGATATTACTGCAAATTTCCATTCAGTTTAGTCTTCAAAGTTCTCTAGGAGTCTGAATATTTATTCTTGCATTTCAGACCCTTCATGATATGGTTCCAACTTACTGTTCCAGTTCCAATGCCCTACTTCTCTCCCATATAAAATTCCTACACAGCCATATTGAAATTGGGTATAGGTGAGGACATTTATTTGGTTGTATTTTGGGTAGGGGGAGGTTCAGGGGTTTTGGGCCGGGAGATTTGCACAAAGGAGAATGATTTTAAGTATTTCCGTCATTGCTACCTATTTTCAATTCTCCCTCAAATAAATATCTTCCTCACTCCTATCATTTTGTATCCACTCCATCCTTCACAGTCCAGCTGGAGTTCTGCAGTTTTCATGAAGCCTTCCCAATATCCCAACTACCCATGGTAGTTTCTCCTCTGCACACTTTTATGCTGTGCATATTGCTTGTAACACCCATTTAGTACTGAATTGCTGACTTTCATATCGTTATCTTTATGTATACAGTTTATGTGTATAGTTGTAGGTATACTCATAAATAGATAATAAACAATTAGAGGAGAGAGATTTCTTTTATATTTTTCATTTCCTACAATGACTTGTAGATATAGTGTCCAATGAAAATTAATATATTGACTTTTTAGAAAATAGGAAAATGGGACTCTGTCTTTTAGTGTTAAGCTCCTAATATATTTTTATTCCACATAAATAAGTTGAATGAATAAATGATAACAATGAAGTGAAAGAAGCACAGTCTCTGTAATCAGACAGACCTAGGTTTAAATACAGCCCTTCCCACTACAAGTTTCGTGACGACCTTGGGGATATTCTCAACCTCTCTAAGCTGTATTTTCCTCCACTGCCAATGAGGTAATAAACACGTAAATTGCAATACTGTTGCAAGATAGCACACAGAAATCATAAGTATACAGTGAATGTTCTCTATTATTAAAGTTTTTCATTCAAATTTTCCCCATTAACATTGCATGTTTATCCTTCAATGGAAAAATTTGCCCTCTGACCCGAGTAGATACCTTGTTCATTTTGGCCATTTAAAATATTTCTACATTACTGAGAATAAATACCTTATTGTTTCTCTAGAAAATGATGTCTCCCCATTCTTCCTTCAAGATGTCCCTGTTCTTTTAAGATTCATAAGACTAACCACTCACTATCCACTTACTTAGATACTGTTTCCTACTGCTAAAATAAATTAAAATGGAGATCAGGCCTGAAGAATTACTGCACAGACAAAGCCAGTAAGGCCTCATATGTAATTCAAACCTTGGATGATTTTTAAGCATAGGCATACTTAACTTGAGCTATTAATATTTCTTATAAATGCCTACATTAAAGGAAAAATGAACTTAAGCTCAACCAATCAGAAACAGCCAAAAAACTTATAAGTGTATAACTAGGGACTTTCCAATAGGGTAGACCAAATAAGGCAACTGTGTAACTGTAATCACTGTAATTAATCTTTGTTCTGTTTTTTTCTTTTTACTTCTGTGTTTGTTCTATAAAAGCCTCCCTCTTGCATTTCCTCAGTGGAGCTCCAGAACCACTTCTGGTTTGGAACTGCCCAATTTATGAATCAATGTTTGCTCAAATAAACTGTTTATATTTGTATGTGTTTCTCAGTTTCTTTTTAACACTATTTATATGCAGGCCATTTTCCCTTATTTCCTTAAAACCTGAACACCTGGCCGCTTTTCTTCCTCCCCACTACCATTACTATTATCATTTTGGAAACCCAACATCTGAGCATACCAGGTCTGTTTCTGACCCAGATGAGTGAATGGTATATACATTAGACTTTGGCACATACTATATCCAAAACACTGATCCCAAACAACTTACTCTGACCATGCCACCACTTCTTAAAATTCCAGTTGAACTATTTTAGATCTCCCGTTGCAACAGTCATCTAGTTCCACTTGCATTCCAAACTATTGACTCCACCAACTGCCCCCTTGCGCCCTCCTCACTTTTTCCCTAACCCAACACAGATTTCAGACTTCATCCCTGAGACTACTCATTTGCATACACTCTTAATTCTCTTACCCTTCTAGCCTTGTATTGTACCCTTTTGCAATACCCCAATTCAAACTAAATCTTATTCATCACCTACCAGAGCAGTTGAATACGGCTAAAGAATAATATACAATCATGCTGAAGTTTCACTTTAATTGCCCTTCTTTCTCATTCTTGCTTGTTCACCTAATGGTATTCATTTCTATTCCAGCATTCTAATTCAGGCCTGGCATTACCTTGTTTCTGCTCACCTGTGTCTCTAATGTTCTGTCTTCCTTCAATTCATTTTGCATGCCGGCTTCCATTAAATTGTTTTAATTTAACAGAAGTTAATCGAATAGTGAATGATTCTCTGCTTGGGCAGTCCCCAGAACCAGAATAGTTCAGGGTGACTCCAGGGTTGTCACGTGTTGTAGAACATTTATGAACAGAAAAAGGAAAGTGACCTGTGATGTACTGAAACAGCTAGATTTGTTACAGCTGTTTCTGTATTTGCCCTATTTGGGTGTTTGCCTTATTTGAAACTGGTTTGAAGAGCTGGTGGCCTGTAATTGGCTGAGACTTGGCTACTACTGTTTATCTTTCTGTTTCAACTTTTTATTTTAGGTTCAAGGGTATGTGTGCAGGTTTGTTACATGAGTAAATTGTGTGTTTCTGGGGTTTCCTGTACAATTGATTTTATCACCTAGGTTGTGAGCATAGTATCCAATAGGTAATTTTTCAACCCTCACTTTCCCTCCTCCCTCCTTCCTCAAGTAGGCCCTGGGGTCTATTGTTCCCACCTTTGTGTCCATGTGTACTCAATGTTTAGTTCCCACTTGTAAGTGAGAACATTCAGTATTTGGTCTTCTGTTCCTGTATTAATTCACTTAAGATATTGGACTCTGTCTCTACCCATGTTGCTGCAAAGGACATGATTTTGGTTTTTTTTAAATGGTTGCATAGTACTCTAGTGTGCATGTATGACATTTTCTTTATCCAGTCCAACATTGATGGATATCTAGATTGATTTTATGTCTTTGCTATTATGAATAGTGCTGTGATGAACATACAAGTTCATGTGTTTTTTTGATAAAATTATTTATATTCCTTTGGGTATATAGCCAGTAATGGGATTGCTGGGTGGTATGATAGTTCTGTTTTAGGTTCTTTCAGAACTCTACAAACTGCTTTTTAAAACAACTTTATCACTTTCTCATCATCACTGAAAATGTCTTTATATCTACCAACTTTTACAATTTTCAAAGTGATTTTTCTTGCGTTTTTAAATTCACTTGAACAGGTAACTTGCCAACACAAAAATCTTTAAAACATTCTTGCAGCCTAAAAGAATTTCACATGAAAGTCAAAACCTTATATAATATCTTGTCAATCAACATTTTAAATTTTAGTTTAGATGTCATCTACTGTAGATCAACAGTGATATCTCTCCGGAGCTTCTGAAGTGTATTATGTATACACACTCACATAACTGTCATATATTACATTACATTGTATATATACTTTCCTCTGCTACTAAATTATAATTTCCTAGATGGCAGGAACCATATTTGATGTATAGTTGTATCTCTCAGAGCAGCTAACAGAATAATATAACTATACCAGTGATCAGTGTATATCTGTGCTATGATTTTCTTCCTTACATTTTTATTATCAAATTTAAAATATTTGCATTAGAATGTATGACTTAAAAGTATTGTTAAAAATATTTGTTTGGGGTTATCTTCCAACTTGGTGGTTTAGATTATGGCGACTCTAACACCTAGTCTTAGGGGACTGTCTATCACAGGATCAAGGGGGCAAGCTCTGGAGCAAAACTCCCTAGGTTCAAAATATTTACTCCTCCAATTCCTGACTTCGTACCTTGGGCAAGACAGTGAACATCTTTTTTGTGTCATTTTTTCATTATTATTAACAAGGAGAGAATAATTAGCAACCACTTCATGATTTGCACCTTAGGCTCTTACTCTAGGTGCAAATGTTGGAGCTCAGTGTTATTGCCTGGAAGGTACTAGATAAGCACAAATGATTAACCAGCTCTTCATCCTCACTTTAAGGCTGACAGTTTTAAGAGTACACAATTACATACTCACAGTAGCCATAGTTCAAATTAAGCTCCTTAAAATTAAATTTATCCCCTTGAGAGTGCTCAACTATAAGCACAACTATAAGCAGATAAGATGAAATAATTATTTTTATTATATTTTAAGATCTGGGATACATGTGCAGAAAGTGCATGTTTGTTACATAGGTAAATACGTGCTGTGGAGGTTTGCTGCACCCATCAACTCGTCATCTACATTAGGTATTTCTCCTAATGCTATCCCTCCCCTAGCCCCCCATCCCCTGACAGGCCCCAGTGTGTGATGTTCCCCTTCCTGTGTCCATGTGTTCTCATTGTTCAACTCCCACTTAAGAGTAAGAACATGTGGTGTTTGGTTTTCTGTTGGTGTTGGTTTTCTGTTTCTGTGTTAGTTTGCTGAGAATGATTTAATGGTTAATATGATTTAAGGTTAATTAATATTGCTATGTGTGAATTTGATCCTGTCATTATGATATTAGCTGGTTATTTTGCCCATTAGTAGATACGGTATCTTCATAGCATCAATAGTCTCTACAATTTGGTATGTTTTTGCAGTGGCTGGTACTGGTTTTTCCTTTCCATATTTAGTGCTTCCTTCAGGAGCTATTGTAAGGCAGGCCTGGTGGTGACGAAAATCTCTCAGCATTTGCTTGTCTTCTAAAGGCTTTTATTTCTCCTTCACTTATGAAGCTTAGTTTGGCTGGATATAAAATTTTGGGTTGAAAATTCTTTTCTTAAAAATGTTGAAGATTGGCCTTCACTCTCTTCTGGCTTGTGGGGTTTCTGCAGAGAGATCCACTGTTAGTCTGATGAGCTTCCCTTTGTAGGTAACTCGACCTTTCTCTCTGGCTGCTCTTAACATTTTTTCCTTCATTTCAACCTTGGTGAATCTGATGATATGTGTCTTGGGATTGCTTTTCTTGAGGAGTATCTTTGTATGTTCTCTGTATTTCCTGAATTTGAATGTTGGCCTGCCTTGTTAGGTTGGGGAAGTTCTCCTGGATAATATCCTGAAGAGTGTTTTCCAACTTGGTTCCATTCTCCCTGTCACTTTCAGGTACACCAATCAAATGTAGGTTTCGTCTTTTCACATAGTCCCATATTTCTTGGAGGCTTTGTTCATTCCTTTTCATTCTCTTTTTTTTCTCATCTTGTCTTCACGCTTTATTTCATTAAGTTGATCTTCAATCTCTGATATTCTTTCTTCCACCTGATCAATTCAGATATTGATACTTGTGTATGCTTCATGAAGTTCTTGTGCTGTGATTTTCAGCTCCATCAGGTCATTTATGTTCTTCTCTAAACTGGTTATTCTAGTTAACAATTCCTCTGACCCTTTTCCAAGGTTCTTAGCTTCCTTGCATTGCATTAGAACATGCTCCTTTAGCTTGGCAGAGTTTGTTATTACCCACCGTCTGAAGCCTACTTCTGTCAATTCATCAAACTCATTCTCCATCCAGTTTTGTTCCCTTGCTGGTGAGAAGTTGTGATCCTTTGGAGGAGAAGAGGCATCTTGGTTTTTGAAATTTTCAGGCTTTTTGCGCTGGTTTTTCCTCATCTTTGTGGATTTATCTACCTTTGGTCTTTGATGTTGTTAACCTTCAGATGGGGTTTCTGTGTGGACAACCTTTTTGTTGATGTTGATGCTACTCCTTTCTGTTTGTTAGTTTTCCTTCTAACAGTCAGGCCCCTCTGTTGCAGGTCTGCTAGAGTTTGCTGGAGATCCACTCCAGACAGTTTGCCTGGGTATCACCAGCGGACGCTGCAGAACAGCAAAGATTGCTGCCTGTTCCTTCCTCTGGAAGCTTCATCTTAGAGGGGCACCCGCCAGATGCTAGCTGGAGCTCTTTTGTATGAGGTGTCTGTCAACCCCTACTGGGAGGTATCTCTCAGTCAGGAGGCATGGGGGTCAGGGACCCACCTGAGGAGGCAGTCTGTCCCTTAACAGAGCTCCAGCACTGTGCTGGGAGATCTGCTGCTCTCTTCAGAGCCTGTAGGCAGGAATGTTTAAGTCTGCTGAAGCTGCCTCCATAGCCGCCCCTTCCCCCAGGTGCTCTGTCCCAGGGGGGGATGGGAGTTTTATCTATAAGCCCCTGACTGGGGTTGCTGCTTTTCTTTCAGGGATGCCCTTCCCAGAAAGGAGGAACTAGAGAGGCAGTCTGGCTACAGCGGCTTTGCTGAGCTGTAATGGGCCCTGCCCAGTTCAAACTTCCCAGCAGCTTTGTTCAGGCTGTGAGGGGAAAACCGCCTACTCAAGCCTCGGTAATGTCTGACGCCCCTCCCTCCACCAAGCTGGAGCTCTCAAGTGGACTTCAGACTGCTGTGCTGGCAAGGAGAATTTCAAGCCAGTGGATCTTAACTTGCTGGGTTCCATGGGGGTGGGATCTGCTGAGCATTGGCTTCCTGGTTTCACCCCCTTTCCAGGGGAGTGAACTGTCTGTCTTGCTGGCATTCCAGGTGCCACTGGGGTATGAAAAAAAAAAGCTCCTGAAGTTAGTTCAGTGTCTGCCCAAATGGCCACCCAGTTTTGTGCTTGAAACCCAGGGCCCTGGTGGCATAGGCACCAAAGGGAATCTCCTAGTCGGCAAGTTACAAAGACCGTGGGAAAAGCGTAGTATCTGGGCTGGGATGCACCATTCCTCACGGCACAGTCCCTCCAGGGTTCCCTTGGCTAGGGGAGGGAGTTCCCCAACCCCTTGCACTTCCCGGGTGAGGCGACGCCCCAATCTGCTTCAGCTTGCCCTCCGTAGGCTGCACCGGCTGTCTAACCAGTCCCAGTGAGATGAGCCGGGTACCTCAGCTGGAAATGCAGGCATCACCCACTTTCTATGTTCATCTCGCTGGGAACTGCAGACTGGAGCTGTTCCTTTTTGGCCATCTTGCCAGCCACTGAGATAATATTTTTAATGTTAGCATTTCTTAATGGTGATTTAGAAACTTGACACAAAGATTCAACTTCTTCCCCAGGAAACAGATTAATGGATAAGTCTCTAAGGATTAAAAGCAATTAACACCAAAAAACAAATGGCTGGAAAATGATCATCCTAATCCATCAGGTTTTTAAATGGCTTCAGAAGCTTTTGTCAAGATTCCCAAGGCAAAGACCAGTCCTTCAGTGTTTACCATCAGTAAACCATATATCCATTTTTTTAACCGTTAAAAGAATTTAAAATTTTTTTGTTTTAATAGTAATAAATTATTCAATAAAACTCACATGACTAGATGCTTTACAATAATTGCTCCCAGTTTAGATTTTTAGGTTGCCTTTATGGAATTAATACCAATAAGCTACATGGACGTGTTCCTTTCACAGAGCTGCTGTTTGGAAAACTGAGAAAATTCACATTGTTTTTCCTTCTGATTCTAGAGTAATACTAAAGTATCTGCTTTTGTTAATGTGTCCCTCAGCCAACCAGAAGGGAGAATATTTCAGCCTCCTACGCTGAGGTTATATAGCCTCTAAGTGAGGGGCATGGTTAGACTGACCTCAAACTAAACAAAACTATAACAGGTTTTAAGAGAAAAAGGAAGTGGAATATGCTGTGTACCATTTCAGTCTAGAAACAAAAATAAGGAAGTGGGATGGCCCAGAAAAGAAATTCCCAAACATTTTTTGGCAATGCAACACCTTTTTGTTATTTGATTATGTGATAAGTTTTTTCCTGTCTCTACCAGCTCCTTTCTCATGTCCTAGGGGGAAAAAATGTATAGTAAAATATATAATAAATTTGACATTTAGATTCAACCAAAGCTATTTTGGTCTGAAAAACTGTATGAATTTTGAATAGTAATTGAAAATGCCTTTGGATGTTGTAAAGCCAAGACCAGAAATTAATATTCAATAATCAGAGATTTATGGTGGAAATATTTTTGAGCTGGTGTTTATTTCACTGAAAAGAAAGTGAAATTGTATCTCCCTGTCTTTCTACCTGTTCTTCCCTTCCTTCCTTCCCAATTCTTAAGGTAAATACCAATTCCTTCTTCAAATAAAAAGCCAGGCCACAGTCATGTGAGAATCTCTCAGTGGCCCATCCTTTGAGTAAGTGCTGGTTAAGGTTAAGGCCATAGCACTTTTAGGGGCTGTATTAGTCCATTCTCACACTGCTATAAAGAAATACTTAAAACTGGGTAATGTATAAAGAAAGGAGGTTTAATTGGCTCACAGTTCCATTGGCTGTACAAGAAGCATGGCTGGGGAGGCCTCAGGAAACTTTCAATCATGGCAGAAGGTGAAGGGGAAGCAAGCATGTCTTACATGGCTGGAGCAGGAGAAAGAGAGAGAAGGGGGAGGTGCCACACACTTTTAAACAGCCAGATCTCATGAGAACTCACTCATCATGATGAGAACAGCAAGGAAGAAATCTGCACCCATGATCCCATCACCTCCCACCAGACCCCTTCTCCAACATTGGGGATTATAATTCGACATGAAATTTGGGTGGGGACACAAATCCAAACCATATCAGGCTGATGGGGTCAGTAAAGCACTTGGTAAGTATACACAGTGGCTCAGCATCTATGATGCCCTTTAAATAATAGAAATACATATATGGTACATCCATATTCCTATATAAAGATTAAGCCATATCATCCACAATTGCAAAAACAGTGTAGATCTATTCTGAAGTGTACTGATGTCTTTTTGTGTCTACAAATATCATTATTAACAAAAATTTTATATTTGTATATAAGGTCATTTATGCCCTAGAAGATTTCATACCCACTATGCTTAGAAAGAAAGAAATATACATAAGGAGAGAAATAGCAACACAAAGTGAGGTAGGATACTGACTCCTAACAGCGTGTGATGCAGGAATTAAAGCGAGCACTAATAGCTGAGTTGTAATATTTACAAATGATAGGTTCCTGTACGTGTGTGTGTCTGTGTGTGTGTATAAAATATATATATTATATGTATGAATAAAATGTATGTGTAATATATATAGTGTATTTTACGTCCATTCCAATTAGCAAGCTTTTATTAAGTGGCTAAGTTGAATGTTGCATGTACTTCGGAGGCACCAAAAGAAGGAGGCCTGGTGGAGCTCTGGCTCCTGGTTAATCTCTCCCAGCACCTTCTGGATTCATATTAAAGGAACACACAATCAAAGTATAAAAACAGTGTGTTTTGCTGTGCTATCATTGCTGAATAGAGGTTCATTTTCAGGCAGGTCTCGGACCTAAACCACTTGTTTAGAAACTCTGTAGTTTGTATCCCTGGGCCCAAGATGCACGAAGATGAAGAAGACATGATCTTCCTTCAAGGAATTTGTTTTGAATTTTCCTGTCAACACATACATGGGGATTTAGTTCGTTGCTCATAGGGAAAACATCATGTCAGGGGATAGTCTCTAAGAATTGTATACAATTTCTGTAATGAGAACACATCACTGAGACAAATAATAATAATAACTCAGCACAATGGGTCTCTTGAACACATGCACATGGTCTCAGGAGCTCAGTTGTACATAAACTGTATAAGCCTCACCTTTATCATGCCTTGGTTCTCAGAACCAAAGTGATCTTGATTTCAAGGTCACTTTCTATTCATTCAGCAACATTGCACTTTAGAATAATTTATTATTAGATGAGAATGTCTCAATTTCTTGCTCTCAATAGGTACTGAAGTTGTTAGAATCATCCATTATTTGCCATTTAAGCTTCCTCATATAAATCCACACAGCAAAATGCAGTTTGTTTATTTCTTGTAATGGATTGTCTGTGTCATCTCCAGAAATGAACAATTAATAATATTGAGGTCTCAGGCTCAGGTTTGTGTATTCTTAACTGTGTGCATGTATCATATTCTTTAGTAAATATGCTTTCAAAAATATCATGGCTAGTCTGTCAAGAGTCTACTCCAAAAGATCACTGAGCATCACTCTGATGCTCCTTAAGACCCACTTTATCCTAGACCAGCCCAGGCAGAGTTGCCACTCATTACCCCTGTTCACTCCATCCCTAGAAAACTCATTTAACTTGCAAATTCAAAATAAATACTTGCAAACTAGATAGATACTATTATTGGCTTCAAAAAAGATGATTACATTTTTATCAATCCAAAATCTTTTGTACACCGGCTTAGTCTTCTGCCTTAAAATCTCTTTAAAAAACAAATGGGCCTAATTCTTCCCTCAGATCTAACTAAAGCCAGCACAGCACAAATTCCAGTTGCCATTGGAAAGGATTTAAATGGAGATGGCCCTTTACTCAGTCTTTCTTAGTGGATTATACCACAGAAATCTTCCAGGGCCAAATTTAAAACATATTTGTTTTAGACTCTGCCAAGTTGGGTATTATTTTGCAATTTTAGTGCTTTTTTTTTTATTTCTCTGTAGAAGTGTTTTTCTGTCTTCACCCTTTTACTTCTTTCTGTCTCTAATATCTATTTTCAGCAAAGACAGTGAAAAAGGATAGGAAATTCAAAGTGGTTCTGCTTTTGTTTCAAAATATTACAGCTATTTCTATAAAAACCATTCAAAAGCTTCCAACATTATTACCCATCTTACCCCATTGTTATGGGCACAATAATATTGTTTATAGAATTATTAAAAGTATCCTAAGAAGTGAATCATGTAATAGTTGGTGGTTGGAAGTATGTATCCCTATCTGTAGCAATTTTAATAACTTTGCACTTGCTAACCTGGCACTACCCAAAATCTGTCATAAAGACAACATAGCCCTCCTTTGAAGTTACATCATTTCTTCTCAAAGGATTAATAGCACTTTCATAGTTTTTGTTTTATTGGATTCTTTATCTTATGAGATCAGCAAATGTAAATTGCTCTTAAATGTAAAGGTTACTCCTGGCCTGGTGAATATCGAAGCAGAGTCAAGTGATTTGTGCTCCCAAACACATTTACCAGAAGTGGAGGATGCCCATGTGCTAGCAGCCTGAAAGTCCAAACTCTCTATCAGCGTGGTAAAATTTGTTTCACATCAAACCTCAATTTTCAGTCCTGGGCTAATTGAAGTCTATCAGATAGCACATTAGATGACTAATGGCCCATTCCTAAAATGAAGGCCTACCCAACAGTTTCATTTATAAAGCTCCTTTAGGAATTCACTCAAAGGACATCTGATAGCTCTCATTAAGCTATGCTTAAAATTCTCTGAGGAACATCATTTCCTACCTGTACTTTAAATTAAAACCTTTAGGAACTCTATGATAGTAACCTCACACTGGGTGCCAACAGTGGTCCAGCACCATGCTGAGAACTTCACAGGCACTGTTTCACTGGATCACCTCAGCTGCTGTGAGGTTGATATTATTTTCCCTGTATCATGGCTTTAGAAGCCTTATAGAAAGCTTCAGTAACTTATTTTCATATATTTCATCATGTTCACAAAGAGTTCATAAACTCTTCCTGGGAGTTTCCTCACTTGCATCATGGGAACAATAATACTTACCTCATAAAACTTAAAATCTTGTTCTCATCAATCAGGAAGCAATCCAAAGATTGACAAAGAGTAAACTAGAAGTAAATGTGAAGAAATATTTTTTTCCAATGGGTTTATGGAAATTTATTTCAGTATGTCAGCCTCCAAATTCAGCTACGGATTTTAAAAAGGATGTGTGGTCCAAACTGCTCTTTAAGAACTAGCCTAAAAATCACCTTCCAGATCAACTTATAATAGCATTTAATGTACATCAGAGTCCCACTTAAAATCTATTATCTCTTTTTTTTTTTTTTTGAGAGGAGTCTCACTCTGTCACCCAGGCTGGAGTGCAGTGGTGCGATCTCGGCTCACTGCAAGCTCTGCCTCCTGGGTTCATGCCATTCTCCTGCCTCAGCCTCCCGAGTAGCTGGGACTACAGACGCCTGCCACCAGGCCCGGCTAATTTTTTGTAGTTTTAGTAGAGACGGGGTTTCACCATGTTAGGCAGGATGGTCTCGATCTCCTGACCTCGTGATCCGCCCGCCTCGGCCTCCCAAAGTGCTGGGATTACAGGCGTGAACCACCGCGCCCGGCCTATCTCTTTTTGGTTTGAACTTGCACAGCTCATAGCAAAAGTACCACATTTTAAAGGCTTATGCTGGAGCAACCAAAAGCACAAGAAGGAGAACAAAATTCTGCAAGAAATTACTGCCTGAAAAAAAATGAACATCATGAGCAACGGGCTCTATACCTATCCTCATCATGGCCTCATTTGTAACCAAAGGCAAGTCACTCCAACCTACGTGGGTCTCAGTTTTATGAGAAAGTGATTGACTAGAGAATGCTACTCAAAGTTTTTTCAATTTCTCTAAGTAATTTTTCTTAGGTGATTGAAAGGAGACAGTAGCCAGGCCATCATAGAGGGGCATCAGTCAGCATGAGGGGTGAATCTTTTCAGTGTAGAAGTAAAGCACATGTCCCGGAAGACAAGTCCACATGAGTTTAAAGACTTGGCATAGCACCTCTAAATGATGGGGAGGAATGCATTTTAGTTTTTTCACTTCTATTTATACACATAAGTAGTAACATCTTTAAGAGTAACACTTCAGAATTCTTATGAAGAATATATAAAAGACTATTTGTGATTTTGAAGACAATATTTGAAGAAAATGTACATTGTTGTCAGATTGTCTTAAATCAATGTTTAACTATCTTTGGCAAAGGGAAAATTGTGAATAACATGGTATGCAGCTGTGTATGGAAAAACTAAAAATGGAACTGTAATTGGGTCCTAAATTGGAAACACATCTGAGTTTTGTTAACAATTTGAGAGTGATATTAACTTGTTTTATTCACTCCTTAATTGTGTATATATGTGTCAGAGAATTCAGCAGGGAGATGGAGAAAGAAAAGAAGAGAAGGAGAGAGAGAAACAGGAAAGTAGAAAGGGGAATTAAAAACGGGAAGGAGAGAGAAAATATATGACAACTAAACATAGATATCATAGTTCTTACGTGGACCTCTTTCTGTTTACAGTTAGGCTCTTTCCTAGAAAGGGAATAATCACTGGAGTCCTTTCAAATTCAACTAAAAAGGCAACACCTTAAGAGAAACCTATGACTTCTTAGCTATATAAATAATCTAATAGTGCACCAGTCCTACCACTGCTTTCAATAATGGGCACACAAATACAAAATCAATGAAAAGCCTTACAAAGTCCTATGAGATAAACGACTATGAAAACTATACCCGACTATACAATCTAAGCACATAGAACAGATTTATTCTTATTACCTGAGTTCAGTAATGATTACTGAGTGGCCGTAAATGTTTCCATTTAGATACATCCAAATGCAAACAGGCCACCTTCCCATGCCGATCCACAGGGATCTTCATAACTAGAGCTTGAACATAAGTCAATTTCATGGTATTAATCTAAGTAATAGAACACATTCTCTAGGATAAGTTTATTTCATGCCAAAAAAATCCAAGTATTGGTACTCATGTGTGCCCTTTAAGTCACATACATTCAGAAAGGAAGAAATTAAGGAATGCATTGACCTTTGTCACAATTTTGGATATTATCACATTGGTCCCTAAATGGCTTCCCAAGTCCTAAGGATTCAAGTTGACTCTTTTTTATTTCATTTATAAATTACTCAATTAGTTTGCATAATAATGCAGGAGCTTGTAAACGAGATCAGTTCTTTAAACCTACCCAAATGATTCTGTTTCAGTAGATGTGGGTTTGCACTCTGGAATATACAGTTTTAATGAGTGGGTACTCTAAAACCTAGATTTCATAGACTGTACCCTTAGAAACACTGAATGCTTCATTTCTCAGTTTCCTTCCAACTATAAAACGTTTGGGCCTTGCAGAACGAAAAGTAGTAAAGGGAGGATAGAGTATAGGTGAGTAAAGCTACAGAGGCAAACACATTATAAAAATAAGTGAAAGACTCATTCATTCATCAATACATACTGCCAAAATGCCAAGCGCGGTACACATATTGGGTGAAAAAGAGATAAACGAGGGCTCCCACTTTGCTGGAGATGACAGCTTATAAGCAAATAATTTTGAGAGCAATTTAAGTGTGATAATGGAAACATGTTTTCATGGAAGAGGAGAGCTGAAAAGTCATCAACTCTGTCAGAGAGAAAAAAAAATGTTGAATCTAGATTAAAAGGGATCTAGATTAAGAGGAGGAAATAAAGACAGGAATCAAAGCAACTCATACCACAGCAAGAGAGAGAAGAAAAGGAAAGTAGGAAGAAAGGCCATAAACTAGGTAGACCCCCATGAGAAAGTGACAAACACTAAATTTTGTGCTAGGTCTATCAATTCAATATACCTAAAAGGCTGAAATCTTTTTGCCTTTTTCATTCAATTTCTACCTATCAAAATTTATATGATACTTAGTTCTTTGGAAAATTGAATCTATATCTCATTTTGTTAAAGAAGCTAGATTACTATTGTGTCTAGGTAATTAAATAATAATACTATTATCATTTTCTTTCTGTAGTTACCAGCTTCCAAATATTGAGGTTTACTATTCAATTGGAATTATTTTGAATCTGATAACTATTTTCATTTGTTGTTTTCTCCTTGGATGCTCCAAAACAGAACCTTTTAGACAGTTTTTAAACACTTGACAATCACTTCACCAAATTCCATTCTCTTACCCTGCAAACTAATAGCAAAGCTGGACTCTGATATGTAGTTGAGGGGTTGGGGGGCATGGTGTGATGTCTGTGGTATATGTGTACATTTGAAGACACTTTGATTGTTACATCTGTGCGTAGAAACAGTTTAACGTTCTAAAGTTGTAAATTACATAACTAAAAATGCTGTTCCATAGGCCAATGGAATAGAACAGAGAACTCGGAAATAAGACTGCACACCTACAACCATCTAGTCTTTGACAAATTTGATAAAAACAAGGGATAGGGAAAGGATTCCCTATTTAATAAATGGTGTTGGGAGAACAGGCTAGCCATATGCAGAAAATTAAAACTAGATTCCTTCCTTACACCTTATACAAAAATTAACTCAACATTTTGGGAGGCCAAGGCAGGCGGATCACCTGAGCTCAGGAGTTCAAGACCAGCCTGGCCAACATGGTGAAACTCTGTCTCTACTAAAACTACAAAAATTAGCCAGGTGTGGTGGTGAGTGCCTGTAATTCCTCCCACTTGAGAGGCTGAGGCAGGAGAACCACTTGAACCCAGGAGGCAGAGGTTGCAGTGAGCCAAGATGCACCACTGCACTCCAGCCTGGGCAACAGAGCAAGATTCTGTCTCAAAAAAAAATTAAAAAATTAAATCAAGATGGATTTAAGACTTAAACATAAAACCTGAAACTATAAAAACCCTAGAAGAAAATCTAGCCAATACCATTCAGGACATAGGTATGGATAAAGATTTCATGATGAAAATGGCAAAAGCAATTGCAACAAAAGCAAAAATTGACAAATGGGATCTAAACTAAAGAGCTTCTGCACAGCAAAAGAAACTGTCATCAGAGTGAACAGACAACCTACAGAATAGGAGAAAAATTTTGCAATCTATCCATCTGACAAAGGACTAATATCCAGAATCTACAAGAAACTTAAATTTACAAGAAAAAAACAACCCCACTAAAAGTGGGCAAAGGACAGGAACAGGCACTTTCAAAAAAGACATACATGTGGCCAACAAACATATGAAAAAAAGTTCAACATCACTGATCATTAGAGAAATGCAAATCAAAACCACAATGAGATACCATCTCATACCAGTCAGAATGGCCATTATTAAAAAGTCAAGAAACAACAGAAGTTGGCAAGGTTGTGGAGAAAAAGGAACACTTTTACACTGTTGATAGGAATGTAAATTGGTTCAACCATTGAGTAAAATAATGTGGCAATTCCTCAAAGATCTAGAAGCAGAAATACCATTTTGCCCAGTAATCCCATTACTGGGTATATACCCAAACGAATATAAGTCATTCTATTATAAAGATACACATACACATATGTTCATTGCAGCACTATTCATAATAGATAAGACATGGTACCAACTCAAATGCCCATCAACGATAGACTGGATGAAGAAAATGTGGCACATATACACCATGGAGTACTATGCATCCGTAAAAGGAACAAGATTATATCTTTCTTTTGCAGGGACATAGATGGAGCTAAAAGCTATTATCCTCAGCACAGTAACGGAGGAACAGAAAACCAAAGACCACATGAACTCACTTATAAGTGGGAGCTGAATGATGAGAACATATGGATGCACTGAGGGGAACAACACACACTGGGGCCTGTTGGGGGAGCAAGGGGAGGAAGAGGGAGGAAGAGCATCAGGGAGAATAGCTAATGGATGCTGGGCTTAATACCTAGGTGATGGGTTGATATGTGCAGTAAACCACCATAGCACATGTTTACCTATGTAACAAACTAGCACATTCTGCACATGTATCCTGGAACTTAAAATAAAAGTTGAAAATAAATACAAAATAAAAATGCTGTTCATTTGCTAAAGTTTTTGCTTTTGGCACTATTGTTGTTTTTACATTGTTTTCAAAAAAAAAAAACACAACACTTCAGTTCTATTAACCAAATTTGGAAAAAGCATCTTATAAGAAAAGCAAGAAAATAAATCTTTCTTTTTTAATTTTTTATTTGTAACATAGTTTTCATTTAATTTCTTTACATATAATTCATGTACATGTATATATAGTTCATATATATGTATTTTATATAAATGAATAACTGTGATAATATGCATGCTTATTTTTAAATGAGCAATTTTTTTTTGTCTTTTGGATTCCCTGCCCCATTTTCCTCTTCCTTATTATACTAAAACATTCCATTATCTCCCTTCATGATAACCTGTATCAAAGCCTAGTGTCTTTCTCCGTAGCCGCAGAATATTTTATAGACATATACCTACACTCATAGACAAACACAAACATATATCTGATTTTTAAAATTGTTTATCACATTGTGGCAGACAGACTTTAATGTGACCCCCATAATTCTCACCTTTTGATATTCTCACCCTTGTATAATTCCCTCACCTTGAGCAGGAGGGGGATCAACTTGTTTCTAATAAGTCAAGTATAGGAAAGGTGATTGAGTATACATGATTACATGTATGTGATTATGTCACATAAGATTGTAGCGCCTGTCTTAAGGAATGGCTTTCTCCCTCTTACTGCTTTGAGGATGCCAGTGGTCACGTTAGGAAAGCCCACACGGCCCGGAACTGGGGGCAGTCTGCAGCTGACAGCCTGCGAGAAACACACACTCTCAGTCCAACAATCTACAAGAACTGAGTGCTGCCAGCAGACATGTGAATTGGGAAGGGGATCCTTCCCCAGACAAGCCACAGCTAACACCCTGATTACACAGTCTTGTGAGACCCTGAAGAGAGGTTCCAGTTAAGCCATGGCCTAACTTCTGACTCACAGAAACTGTGAAATAATAAAACTGTGATGTTTTAAGCTGCTAAATTTGTGATAAAATTGTTATTATGCAGCAATAGACAACTAATGTACATATAAAGTGAGATTATATCAAAAACAGTAAAAGGTGGCCAGGCGCGGTGACTCACGCCTGTAATCCCAGCACTTTGGGAGGCCGAGGCAGGTGGATCACAAAGTCAGGAGATCAAGACCATCCTGGCTAACATGGTGAAACCCCATCTCTACTAAAAATACAAAAAATTAGCTGGGTGTGGTGGCAGGCGCCTGTGGTCCCAGCTACTCAGGAGGCTGAGGCAGGAGAATGGTGTGAACCCGGGAGGCAGAGCTTGCAGTGAGCTGAGATCGCGCCACTGCACTCCAGCCTGGGTGACAGAGCAAGACTCTGTCTCAAAAAAAAAAAAAAAAGCAGTGAAAGGTAATTCTGCCTCAGTTTTGCCTGAGGCATGATGACTTGCTCATATAGACAGAATATACAAAGTAGAGGATTGAAAAGCAAATTTTAGACCATCTTCCAAGCAGAATACAAAAGGGTGGAGATTGAAGAGCCCAGAGTTGAAGACTGAAGATTTCACTGGAGAGAGCTACCAATTAGCTGAGAATGCCAACCGCTGCTCCCATGGGAGACTGGATGAAAGGGCTTATCTCTTGCCTCAAGCCTAGTGAGTGGGATTTCAGAGAAACCAGTGGCAGAGCTTGATATGTGAGCTCAGTGCTGATAGGGACAAAAGGTGAGAGAACTGCTGAAGGAGATTGGGTCAGCAGAATAGAGAGCTATGATTGGAAATATACTGTGGTCTGTCAACAGAGGGCCAGGGGTGTATCTTTCCCATGAACAAGACATGAACTATAGAAGAGAGGGTTGGTATGGCGCTGCTGTAGATCCTGCCAAGAGGGCTTTTGGGAGTGGTGAAGAGGCTTCAGCAGAGGGACGCTGAAGTGTACACCCAGATGCCCAGGGGACTAGGAAGAAATTGGATAATAGCAGACAAAGAGTTGTATCAGCTCAAGTCAAGTGAACTGCAAGGAGACGTACTCAGTAATAGGAAGTTCTCTAAAGAACCCACAAACCATTCATCAGAAATAGAGTCAGCTTTAAACATTTGCCAAGCCTGGAAAATACCAAGTCAGGACAACTTAGTCACACAAGATCTTTCCTAATCCTTTACAAAGCTCTCCTCCTCCCTTCCTCTACTACCAGTCTTTGATGCTCGAGGAGTTAGAAACCAAACCTAATCAGTCATGGCCAAAAGGGCGGAAACATAGCCAGGCAGATAGCCTTTTCTTCAGCACCAGACCAGAGCTAGGGAGACTAAAAGCTTTAACTTTGAATGAAGTCTTTAATTATCACATCGACTGGACACATTAGTTACTAAACTGGATCTTTTGTAAGCTCAAATGACTGAAAGACATTTTATTTTCTAACAGTGAGCAGAAATTGTGAGTTTGCCCTAGATTTTGCCAAGTGGCAGGAGAACTTCTAGAGCTCTACTAAATCCACAAGAGCAGTTGTGGGTAGAAAATGCTGTTTATAATTGCAACCTATAAATTCTGCATTTTCAATGTTATTCTGCTCCCTTTTCACTCAACTAAAACTTCACGGAAGTTCTCACAAGTCATTTCACATAAGTCCAATCCATTTATTCATAATGGTTCATGTGCATGATAAATCAGTTTGACCTGTTGATAGGCACACTCTTTTCCTCCATCCACTTTTATTTGCTACTTTACTCCTATGAAGAAAATTTTTATATTAAACATGCAGCAATTAATACTCATGTATATATATTTGTAAATACTGATGCTTTTTATTTCTATGAGGTATTTCTAGTGATAAAATTTGTTGGTTGAATGATATCTATACATACATATATCCATAAAGGCAGAAACACTTCACATTTCTTCCAGTAGTGAACAAGTGATTTTTCACCATGTCTCAACAAGCAGTGTAGGTTAAAGACATTTTCCGTTTTTGCCAGTCTAATGGGTAGAGAATGATAATCACTAATATAACGATTTCTATTTAATTGAAGAGTAACAAATTTGAAAATTTCATTTTATATAACACCGACTCCTAGATTAAGAGTGTTTTTAAAAAGGTATGCTAAAATGTTTACCTAGACTTAATAAATCTTAGAATAAAAGAAGTTTAATTGACTTACCAGGGTCACACAGCTCCTTACTGGCAAACTAAAATAACATTGCAACTGTGGTCTTTTGTCTTTCAAGGCAATTATCCTTGAATTACAAAGCCATTCTTTAGCAGGAAAATATTTGATTAATTAAAAAACGAGGTATAATTAATAATTACAAGTGTTCCAAGAAGGTAAATAAAGAGCACAATGAGCTGAAATGAACAGAACATAGAAAGAATAAATATTTGGAAGGAGTTAAAAAAAAACTTATTTGAGGGATAATAAGTCAATGAGTATGATGTGAAGTTTCTCTAATGGAAATGGCAAAGGTAAGATCGTGAAGATAAGTTTAAAATAGATCTTACTTTCAATGCCAGGTTAAGATATTTGTACTTTATGTTATAAATGAATATGAAGCATTTTGAATAGGAACATAGAAAAATTAGCAGTGTTGTAGAATAAGTGATATGGAATATGTATATAGAACAGTTTTAAAATTACATATTTAAATAATGTATTCTTTCTTCATAAAGAGTTTTTTTTAGTTTCTGATATTTAAGTGTCATCATGCAAACATACATACACAATACATATGCTCTACATCTTTCAAAATAATTACATCTTTCAAAATAATTATTTGACTACATTATTTTTCCATAAAGATGCTGGATATTTTACCTCTTAAAAGGCTAATCAAGCTGTTTTTGTAATTATATTTTTCTTCTAACATTGTTTCCAAGATATGATACAGAACAGAACATAGATAATTCTATATTACCTAGATTCAAAACCTTCTTAAAATAGTGAAAGAAAAGTAAAAGAAACAAGAAGTCAGACATGAAAACTAAAGACTGAGGAGTCTATAAGATTGTGTTAGGAAGCCTGGAGTGAGCCTGCTGTAGAATGAGACATCTGAGTATATTTGAATGATGAAATACAAATAAAAATGAGCTCTGCTTCAATGGAGTGTACTCAACATAAGGAATTTTTATCCCTTAGAGATACTTGTGAAACTAATCTCAGAAAGTGATTAGAATTCATGCATGAGAAATTCATAATTTAATTGCAAATTCATACTTAATATGTGCCAAAGATTTTGGTGTATGCTAGATAATCGAGCTTATGAAACATGATCTCTTATTCAATTTTCTGCTGCTATTAACAGAACACCACATATTGAGTAATTTATTTAAAAATGAGATGTATTGGCTCATGGTTCTGGAGGCCAAGAAGTCCAAGATCAAGGGGCCACTCCTGATGAGGTCAAAACATTGTGGAAGGTCTCACATAGAGAACACACACTCAAGAAAGAAAATTGGGCTGAATTCATTTTTTACCAGGAGCCTACTCCCAAGATAATGGCATTAGTCCATTCATGAGGGCTCTATCCTCATGACCTAATCACCTTTTAAAGGTCCCATCTCTTAACACTGTAATGATCGCAATTACATTTCAACAAGAGTTTTGGAGGAGACATTTAAACCAAGGTACATGGTCTTCACTTATAGATGTCTTAAAATTTATAAGATAAATAGATGTTTAAGTACATTACTTATTATTAGCAGCACTTACTGTTAAAACATCACCTTTGTCACTGTCAAAGATAAAATATTGAATAGATGAGAGTCTCAAAATGTTCGTTTTTTGTCCATTTTATTAGACTGACCAATGTCAATGTCAAGTTTTTCCCATTATGACATTTTAAAAATGCAATTTATGTTTTCAGAAAGGGAATGCTTTTTTCTTCCTTCTGTAAGCTTGAATGATAGTTATTATCTGTACTACTTAAATGCTGATTACCTGATGCCTTTCATTCAGTCATTTAACAAATATTTGGAGCATTTATTATGGCCCAGGCACTACGCTGAGCACCTTTTTATATTTCTGGTTATATTTTTATGACTATAAATTGATAGCAATATCCAACCCTTAACTAAAATTTAAACTCTGCCCGATGAAAGAAAAAATATATATGTATTACGCACTTGTACTATGATTTATTGTATCTAACACCTGCATATATGTGCTTTTTAAGTGTAGTATAACATCTGGAATCAAGCTGCTATGGTTCAAATTCTGGGTCCACAACTCACTAGCTATGTGATTTTGAGCAAGATATTTGACCTGAGCCTAATTTTGTAATCTGCCAAATTAGAATAATAAAGTATATCTCTTATAGGTTTATAATGACTGATGATACATGGCATAGTGTTTAGTGCATAATTGGTGTTTAATAAATGTCAGTTATATAGGTAGTAAAGTAGGAAGATGTTTTAAAAGTTTTTAACCTTACATGGACCCTTAAATTCAGAATATAATAGAAATGAAGGTATCCTTGATAAACCCAGTGATCAACAGAAATGTTAGGAAAAAACGGGCAGGACATGGGGCCTTTTTGGAACTTATTTTCTTATTTGTAAAGATTTATAAAGTACATGAAATTTTTTCTTAAATCTATTCAAATATTATTTGTATAAAGTTTTTCACTGAAGCAGAGTACCCAGAGAGTACTGCGGCCTCTACTCATGAAACATAGCATCAATCTGACATACAGAGTATGAAAGTTATATGACGATAAACTCTTAACTGTTTAGGTGCCTGTTTCCTTTGAGCACCCACTGCCCATCTCATTAAGGTGATGGGACATGGTTAAATAAAACTTATGAAAGAATGAGATACACTAAAAATAAGATATCATTTATTACTGAAGGCAAAAATATTGAATTACTGTAAAACAGATAGGTAACGCTCTCACAAACAATGAGATGTTATTCATTTAAGACACACTTGTTAACGCAATGCTTTCATCATAGCGATTTAGGAAAAAGTAACTGCCAAACATTTTCCCAAATGCTTTAAGAAAATAAAAACAAACTCTTTGGAGGGCAGATGTTGTCTGGCTGGTGCCTGTTCTTCTCTCTTTTCCCTTCATCTCTAGCCATAAATCACATAGCGCACAATCTTTAACTTTACAAGTGTTTAACATTTGACTATGAAGAAAAAATGAAATTTTTTAAACCTCTATAGTCTGTAGGAGTCTTTTTCCTAATAAAATGCATTTGAGTCATTTGTGCAAAATACATCTCAGTGTCCTCACAAATAGTAAAGGACAATAACAGTGTTATCTGGATCTCATTTCAACTGCTCTTCCCAGCTTATTTGCAACAAATTCCATCATCCTTTCCAATTTGATTGTCTCTATCAAATATTTTTGAATCTGAATCTGTGCCTTGGAGGGAAACCTTGCGTCTTGCCCTCAATACAATTATCAGCAGCCATCCATGAAGCACAGCATGTATTGTACAAATATTTGGACTGATCATCTATTGTGCCAGGAACTTTAAAAATGGTCTTGCTTCACACATGATTTGCCCTCTAAAAACATCGACAGACACTATTAACTTGACAAGAGAGGAAAAGAAAAAAGAAATAATTAGATGCGGATGGGTAAAAGGGAGTGGTGCTCAGTGCTTAAAGGCAATTTTGGACCATCACTATTTACAGGAAAATAGAAAGGGTCAGAAGCAATGGAAATCTCATAATTCAATATTCAAACAAATAAAGAAACAAGACAGAAAAGCGCTGTGATGATTCCTCTCCTCTGGACATTTTTGGTTCCCTTCCTTCAAAGCTTATTAAGAGTGAAAGAAGTAATTTCAGTGAGAATAAATGAAATGAAGCATGTTAGTTTAACTTTTCCATTGGCAACCCATGGAAAAGACACAAATTAGCAGTGGGATCTTGAGTGAGCTACTTTACCTCCTTCACTTTAGTTTTCCTATCTGCAGGATGAGTGTATTGACTAGAGGGCAGTCATCATGTATGCCAGCTCTAATTTCTATGATTTGTATATGCATGGCTGATCTGGCTGTCATGAGAATTTAGTCATCCAAACAACAGATTAAATTAGCTATAGCAATTTCTAAATCTTTAAGGCTATTATGTTGACTTTTTTCTTAAACTGATTTGGCTTTTCTATTAGTTGAAGAGAATGTACATGTAAAAAAGTGGAAACTGGTGCAGCTTCAGAGACCTGGGTAAAAAAAAATTCCCAAAAGGACCAATCAATAATAAATGATATGAATACATGATGAAGGAGTGGTGTTCAGTGTTTGAAATACAACTTTGAAGACATCAGTGTTTACATGAAAGAGGATTTATCATAAGCAAAAGGGGATACATGATTATAAAAATCAACTTTTTCTTTTTATCAAAACAAATTTCAAATACTGTCAACCAAAACTATATATCTGAGAGTGAAAGGGAAGAAACTAGGGGAATTAATCAGAAAATTAGAACATAGTATAACTTCAAAAATATGAATGAATATTAGGTTTATCTACTATTAGGATGATATAGGTTTGGGAGGCTGAGGGTAGAGAATCCCTTGAGGCCAGGAGTTCAAGACCAGTCTGAGTAAGTTGGCGAGATATGGTCTTTACACACTGCACTCCAGCCTGGGTGACAGAGCGAGACTCCGTCTCAAAAAAAAAAAAAAAAAATTGCCAGGTGTGGTAACATACGCCTATAGTCTCAGCTACACGAGATGCCGAGGCAGGAGGATTCCTTGAGCCCAGGAATTGGAGGAAGCAGTGAGCTATGATAGCCCCACTGCATTCTAGTCTGGGCAACAAGGCAAGACCCTGTCTCAATTAAAAAGAAAGAAGAAAAGAAAGAAAAGAAGGAAAGAAAAGAAAGAGAAAGAAAGAAAAAAAGAAAGAAAGAGAAAGAAAAAAAGAAACAAAGAAAAGAAAAGAGAAAGAAGAAAGGTTTTTGTTCTCGGCCTGAGCATGTCCCTGTGCAAAAACAGAATTCTTGAGGTTATCATAGATGCTTCTTCATTCTTAATGCTTCCCCACTCTCACGACTCACCAGCAATCAATAAGAAATACATTTTTCAGCCAGGCGCGGTGGCTCACGCCTGTAATCCCAGCACTTTGGGAGGCCGAGGCGGGTGGATCACGAGGTTAGGAGATCAAGACCGTCCTGGCTAACACGGTGAAACCCCGTCTCTACTAAAAATACAAAAAATTAGCCAGGCGTGGTGGTGGGCGCCTGTAGTCTCAGCTACTCGGGAGCTGAGGCAGGAGAATGGCGTGAACCCGGGAGGCGGAGCTTGCAGTGAGCTGAGATTGCGCCACTGCTCTCCAGCCTGGGAGACAGAGCGAGACTCCCTCTCAAAAAAAAAAAAAAAAAACATTTTTCATTTCTAATACCCACTGCTACCTCTCCTCCCTCTCCTCCAATGAAGGCTTCTTTGAGGAAGCTCCATTTCCTCAGCCTCAGACTGCTTATCTTCTACTCTATAAGGAAATATTTACATACCTTCAATCCCAAAACCCCACCTAGGAAAACTGAACAAGTGGAAATGGTTGACTTAAAGTCATGCTTATTGATTTTTTTACAATTCAAACATAGAATGGGGTTGTAGATGAGACAAGTATCAAAATTTGGTTTGGTTAGGTTGAACTGTGGTTTATCCACCAACAAATAAGACACAGGCCCTGACCAAGGAGCTCACGGTCTATGATATTTATGGAGACAAACTATAAATATATAAAAAGTTTTAAAAGTAGTCATTCAAGTGTAATAAATAGATACTTAATAACTACACACACACACAGACACAGTTATTTATCTCATTGCTTGTGTTATTTATTAAGAACTACTGCCATCATCTAACAAGCTGGAAAAAAATAGCTTTCACAAATATGACACAAAAATTGCATATTACATAAAAAGTTCAAACAAATCAAGGGAAACCATTCCTCTCTGTCAGCTTATAATTACACTACGAATTTATGATGCTCTGTCCTTTTTGGTATTATATTTCTAGTGCTAACATCCCTCAATTTTTCCATATATTCCCACACATTAAGCTCTCTTCTTTTTGTATGGCCTATTATCACTGCAAGATTCCATATTAGGCAGGACTTCTAATCTACATCAACATAAAGATATCATTTCATAATGTCAATATTAAATTAAGTGGACAATGTGTCAACTTTTGCTTATAAAGCCTACAAAGGCTTGATTTTTGCTTACTGGAAACATGCTTTTCAATAATAAAATATATGTTTATATAAATGATATATATTTACTAAAATATTCTTTCAGTTTTTATGAGAAAAGGAGGAAGAAAGACTTCAGAGAGAAGAAAGGCTACAGAGAGAAGAAAAACTAATTAGAAAAGGATCTAAAGTCAAAGTGAAGAAGAAAATAGTCACCTGTGTATATTCCACATAGCTATTTTTAGCTCCTTGAAAAAAAAATTCCTTATAGTTTCTGACACTATATTTTATAACTGTAATCTTCCCAGGATAAAAGCTTATCTCCTCTAAGTCTAATAAGCTTATTCTAGGGCATCCTCCTAACATTTTAGTCCTCAATTAAGAATTAAATGTAGCTTGAGTAGGTAAGAAATATGGTTTTCCTATCTTATAACAGAAGAAATGATATGATTTTATCTCATAATACCTGTCTCATAATGAACAGTAACTTAGACAGACAGCCATAGTGACAGCTGAAATAATGTTTTTGGATTCCTTATCATCTCTTCTATGGAATGGTAAATAAATGTGCCGAAAAGAAAAAAGTTGTTGGGCATTGTTAACAGTTTTAATTTTATATCTATCTCTCTATATCTTTTTATCTGTCCTACAAAGTATTTTATCAAATATGTTGTTCCTTTCCCAAATGAATATATGCTGCCATATTTGTCAGTTTATTATCTTTCTAAACTTCTTGATTTTGAAGTGGTTCTCCCATCAAAGAATCTTAGAAGTCATCCAATTTGATATTTTATCCAGTATAATAGTCCTATTATTAAGTTTTTACCCTGATTTCTTTCTTTTTCTTTCTCTTCTCTTTTCTTTTCTTTCTTTCTTTCTTTTTTTTTTTTTTTTTTTGAGGCAGAGTATCCCTCTGTTGCCCAGGCTGGAGTGCAGTGGCACGATCTTGGCTCAGTGCAGCCTCTGCCTTCTGGGTTCAAGCAATTTTCCTGCAGCAGCTTCCTGAGTAGCTGGGATTACAGGCACCCACCAACACGCCCATCTAATTTTTGTATCTTTAGTAGAGACGGGGTTTCACCATGTTGGCTGGGCTGGTCTTGAACTCCTGACCTCAAGTGATCCACCCACCTCAGCCTCCCAAAGTGCTGGCATTACAGGTGTGAGCCACTGTGCCCAGCCCCATTCTTATGTTTTATTATGCAGATGGGGCCTCTACATAGCCGGTATCATGTTGCCTGCTTCTTTTTTTTTTTTTTTTTTTTGTGACAGTCTCACTATGTTGCTCAAGCTAGAGTGCAGTGGCATGATCTTGACTCACTGCAACCTCTGCCTCCTGGGTTCAAGCGATTCTCCTGCCTCAGTCTCCCAAGTAGCTGGGACTACAGGCGCATGCCACCACGCCTGGCTAATTTTTTGTATTTTTTAATAGAGACGGGGTTTCACCATGTTACCAAGTATGGTCTCGATCTCCTGACCTCGTGATCAGCCTGCCTTGACCTCCCAAAGGGCTGGGATTACAGGCATGAGCCACTGCACCCGGCCACCTGTTTCTTTACTGTACATGTGGTTGACAAATAATAAGAAAGATGGAGCTTCCAGGTAGAACATACCTGGCCCCTAGGTAGCTTTTCTCTATTGGCACAGCTGACAGCATTCACCTGTGCAATCTTCTAGCTTGCCTTTCTATGTCTCCAGCTTGATTTTACAGGCTGCTCTTTGTTAGAAAAGAAATGATTTGGGGGCTGCTTTTTGTTAAGACAGGAAACCTTGCCAAGGACTCTCTTACCCTCACTAACTGCCTAAATAATTTCTTTTTAGCTCTTGTATCCTTCCTTCCCTCAGGAATATCCATTTATTAAACTTCAATTACTACTTTTTAAACTTTTATATATTTATAGTTTGTCTCCATAAATATCATAGACTGTGAACTCCTTAGTCAGGGCCAGGGTCTTGTTTGTTGTTAAACCACAATTAAATCTAGCCAAATCAAATTTTGATACTTGTCTCATCTACAACCCCATTCTACGATTGAATTGTAAAAAAAAAAAAAAATCAATAAACGTGACTTGAAGTCAACCATGTTTATACCCAGCAAAAATTACATTGAAAAATGAGAGGGAAGGCCGGGCTCAGTGGCTCACGCCTGTAATCCCAGCACTTTGGGAGGCTGAGGCAGGCAGATCACCTGAGGTCGGGAGTTCGAGACCGGCCTGACCAACATGGAGAAACCCTGTCTCTAATAAAATTACAACATTAGCTGGGCATGATGGTGCATGCCCGTAATCCCAGCTACTCAGGAGGCTGAGGCAGGAGAATTGCTTGAACCTGGGAGGTGGAGGTTGCAGTGAGCCGAGATCTCGCCATTGCACTCCACCTGGGCAACAAGAGTGAAACTCCATCTCAAAAAAAAAAAAAAAAAAAGAAAGAAAAATGAGGGGGAAAGGAAAACACATTGTGTAAATGAAACCTTAAAGAATTCATTAAAAAAAAAAAGCTGTACACCAAAGACAAAATTTTCAACCTGAAGTCAAATAACAGAAGAAAAATATTTGGATATACTGGGATGAATGAAGAGCATCAGGAATGGCAAATACTCACGTAACTATTAATGATTATCTTTTTTGTCTTATAGTTTATTTTTTAAAATTAAATGTTTAAAGAAAAAAATATTAACAGTGCATTATAGAATGTATTATCCATGTTGATGTTAAATGTTTGACAATAGAATAAAGGATGAGGGGAATGATCAAAATTTATGAATACATAGAGAATGAACTTTAAGCAGACTATAATAGTGAAAGATACATATAATTTCTAAACCAACTGCTAAATTAAAATGCAAAAAGAAAGAAATAGCTAAAAAGTAAACAGAGAGATTAAAATGAAATAGTAAAAATAATAGATTAACCAAAAAGAAGGTAGAAAAGAAGACACGAGAGGGGGCGGCCGCAGTCTCAGTTTCAGTGGACTTAATCTTTCCTACCTGTTAGCTCTGAAGAGTCTGGCTGGTCCAGATGTGAGGGATTTCCCCAGCACAGTGCACTAGCTCCACTAAGGGACACTCAGACCGCTTCCTTAAGAGAGTCCCTGATTCTGTGCCTCTGGACTGGGTGAGACTTCCCAAGAGGGGTCAGCAGACACCTCATACAGGAGAGTTCCAGCTGGCATCAGGTTGGTGCCCCTCTGAGATGAAGCTTCCACAGGAAGGAGAAGGCAACAATCTTTGCTGTTCTGTGGCCTCCACTGGCAATTTCCAGGCAAACAGGGTCTGGAATGGACCCCCAGCAAACTGCAAGAGCCTTCCAGAAAAGAGGCCTGACTGATAGAAGAAAAACAGACAAACAGAAGGCAACAAGAACAACACCACCAACAAAAAAGACCCCATAAAAATTCCACCCAAAGGAATACAGCCTGAAAGATCAAAGGTAGATAAACCCATGAAGATTAGGAAAAAATCAATGCAAAAACACTGAAAATTCCAGCATCCAGAATGCCTCTTCTCCTCCAAATGATCACAACACTTCTCCAGCAAGGGTACAGAACGGGACTGAAGTTGAGATGGATGAACTGACAGAAGTAGGCTTCAGAAAGTGGGTAATAACAAACTTCATTGAGGTAAAGGATTATGTTCTAACCCAATGCAAAGAAGCTAAGAAGTATGATTTTTTAAAAAATTACAGGAGTTGTTAACTAGAATAACCAGTTTAGAGAGCAAAATAAATGATCTGATGGAGCTGAAAAACACAGCACAAGAACTTCATGATGTAAGCACAAGTATCAGTAGCCAAATCGACCAAGTGGAAGAGAGAATATCAGAGCTTGAAGACTGTCTTGCTGAAATAAGGCAGGTAGAAAAGATTAGAGAAAAAACAATGAAAATGAATGAACAAAACCTCCGAGAACTATGGGATTATGTAAAAAGACCAAACCTACAATGGATTGCAGTACCTGAAAAAGACGGGTAGAATGGAACCAAGTTGGAAAACACACTTCAGGTTATCATCCAGGAGAACCTCCCCAACCTAGCAAGACAGGCCAACATTCGAATTGAAGAAATACAGAGAACCCCACTAAGGTACTCTACAAGAAGATCAACCCCAAGACACATAATCATCAGATTCTCCAAGGTCAAAAT